>NC_000012.12:114429824-114581340 GCF_000001405.40 Homo sapiens | reverse complement strand
GGTTTTGCCATGTTGGCCAGGCTGTTCTGGAACTCCTGGCCTCATGTGATCTGCCTACCTTGGCCTCCCAAAGTGCTGGGATTACAAGTGTGAGCTACCGGGCTCAGCCTCAGGCAGTTCTTTACAGCAGTGTGAAAACGGACTAATACAGGTGGTGAGGGAAATGGTCTTTCTTCCTAATGCTAGAAGGGTGTATCTTAGCTTCAGACACCTAAAAGAAAGTTCAGAGTCAGCTAGTCTCCTTCTTTGCTTGGGGGTGAGGGCTGGGTAAAGAGGGGGTGACTGGTCAGCCTTGGGCATAGGAAGCTGTTTCAGCCTGTGGGTGGTTCCCCACAACTAACGAGCCAGTTGTTTCTAGGTTATAATTTTCCAGGTGCGAGAAGCGGGGGTCAGGGCAGGAGAATTAGCCTGTGTGTCTCTGCCTGTTTTAGTGCCTGCATTGGGCAATGCTTCCTCCCTTAATGACTGCCCAAAGCCTGGGGTCTGTACTTGCACATGGGGGGGCACCCCCACTTGTGTCAAAAAGTACACCTCTGAAAATATGTTCTATAAAAGTGAGCTAATTGAAACTCACACGTCTCTCCACTAGCCCAGAGAGTTGTTCTTATCTGTCTATAGGGAGCAGGTGGGTGGCAGAGGCCACCAGACACTCCCTTCCTAGAATGTTCCAGAAGCTCTCTCATGTAGCTATGGAAATACATTGAGACATCCCTCAAGATTATTTTCATTTAGGTGCTGTCTTTAACTTTTTAAAAATTTTAGTCACAAATCACTGGAAGTTCCAACAGGTGAGCGTGAGATCATGTTGCATTCACCTAACAGAGCACCTGGCAATGAGTCTGGGCATGATAAATATTTGCCAAGTGTCGCTGAATTGGAACTGGGATTTAAAGAGACAACCAAACAGCAATTTCTGTTAACCCTCCAAGTTATCCAAATCCAAATCTTCCTTTATGATTCAAATTCTAGTTGTTAGTTGTTGCTTTTTTTTTTTTTTTTTTTGCTGTATGACTTCCAATAGGTGGCTTAACCTTTCTGAATGCAGTTTATTTTTTATTTTTTAAGAGACAGGGTCTTGCTCTATCACCCAGGCTGGAATGCACTGGTGTGATCACAGCTCACTGCAGCATCAACTTCCTGGGCTCAAGTGATCCTTCCACCTCAGCCTCCCAATTTTTAACTTTTTTTTGTAGACATGGGGGTCTCTGTTGCTGAGGCTGGTCTCAAATGCCTGGGTTCAAGCAATCCCCCCACCTTCGCCTCCCACAGTGCTGAGATTATAGGTATAAGCCACTGCACCCAGCCTGAATGCAGTTTCTTCTTGCAGAATGGACATAAGTGTGTTCAACTCATAGAGCTGCTGCGAGAATTAATTGAAAAAATACATGTAAAGTTCCTGGCATGGTTCTTGGCACACATCAGACACTGGAAAACTGATATTAACCACGAATGTGCCATGTAATTTACACACATTATTTTAATTAATTCTTCCAACAGCCCTTTGTGGTAGCTATTTTACTTTTTAGCTCCACTATGAAAAAGAGAAAATAAAGGCTCAAGTAGGGGAAACAACTTGTTCCTATCACACAGTGAACCAGGGAAAGCCAAGATGAGAAAATAAACCTTTATGCATCTTAAAGTTTTAGCAAACAGTGCGTCACTTCCTTTCCCATTCTCCACCCCAGGTACCTTCTTTGCCAACATCTGTTCTTTGACCTCAGTAGGATACTTGCTGGTCAATTAGAAACCAACCTCTTACTGCAACTTGCTTTTAAAAGCCCAACCTCCCTGCCCTGTCAGCAAGTGGTCCTCCTAAGTAGCAACTGCTGTACAATGAATTCCCACAGAAGTTGCTATATGATTTTTTTTTAACAAGGTGTGGAGTATACTCCTAGCCAAACTCTACAATTGGCTAGGGGTTGGTTACTGCCACATAAAACCAAGTTGTGACACTCTTACAGCTACTGGTATTTCCTTTCTTGAAGTTTTGCAGTGGGAACTCACCAGTTGAGCAGAGAGGGAGGTTTCAGAGAGGGAGGCAGGGTAGTGACCAGTCCAGGGGACACTAAGCCAAATGGTCACAGCAAATCAGGGCACCCGGTTTTCCTGAGTTTTAAGACAGTTCGCTCCCTGTTTATGGACTTGTCTGTCAATTCCTCCCAGTAAATAATCTGATTAGGTTGAACCGTATGAAATTTTTGACATTTGAATGCTTTTAAGCTACAAAAGCAGCAAGTTTATATGTAGTTCAATCTAATACACACTAGGTTTGCTGATAGAAAAAAAAAAGAGAGGGCTTTTTTCTCCAAACTACTTCTAATACCAGTTATCAGGAGCTTATAAGTATGGCTGATGCTGTGTTAAGTGTGCCACTTGCATCAGCTTGTGTAGTGGGTGACATAATAATCTCAACGATCCATAGGGGTTATGCATCATTAATAAGTCCACTTTCCTGAGGTTCAGAGAGGTTGAGCTTCTCACCTAAAGTCACAGAGCTGTCCCATCTTAAAGATATTGTTTACAAACACCAAGCTACATCCACTTTCCCCTCCACATTGATCCTGTCTTTGTAGCAAATTTGACTTTGAGTCTGTCAGGTTCACTACTCGTCTGTAAGCTTTTTGGGAGCACAGGTCATGTCTTACTTATCTATGAATTTCCATGAAGCACCTAACACTTTAGTGGATGTTCAGTTGGTATCTGCGTGATAATTCCATGAGGGTGCATTGAGAGTATACAGGGTTCTCCAGAGAAACAGAACTCATATGATATAGATAGATACATAACAGGGGATTTGCCATGTGATTATGAAGGCCGAGAAATCACACAATATGCTGTCTGCAAGCTGGAGAACCAGGAAAGCTGGTGGTGAAATTCAGTCCAAGTCTCAAGGCTTGGGAAGCTGATGACATAACCCCCACTCTAAGGCTGAAGACCTGAGAACAAGGTGGAGGGCAGAGGGGTTTGCTGGTGTAAGTCCCAGAGTCTGAAGGCCCAAGAACCAAGAGTTCCAATGTCTGAGGGCAGGAGAAGATGGATGTCCCACCTCAAGCAGAGAAAGCAAATTCTCCCTTCCTCCACCTTTCTGTTCTATTTACGCCCTCATCAGATTGGATGGTGCATGACTGATGGGTGAATCTTTTTTACTCAGTTCAACAATTCAAATGCCAGTCTTTTTCAGAAACACTCTCACCACACACATCCAGACATAATGTTTGAGCAGGTGTCTGGGCACCCCTCCACCCAGTCCAGTAGACACATAAAGTTAACAATCACAATTTGCATGTGTTCAAATACGGGAAGGAACCAGCCGTATATGGGGCTCCAATATTTAAGCAAAGCTCTAAATTAGTCCCTGTCACTTGCCTGGTCTCTAAATACCTGGGTGGAGGCCTCTGCCACTTACTGGTAGGGGACAGTCCCTCAGAGTCACAGTTTCCCCATGTGAAGGAAAAAAGGCACGGGGAAAGTCATTCCCACCTTGAGGAATGACTTGGAAGGAGCAGATTAGAATAATTATATTAAGTTAAATGAGGATGATGTAAGAGGTGGACTCGATTCTGGAGGCAGGGTTCAGACACGGGACCAAATTGAGGACTAGCTAAAACAGGAATGGAGCAGAAGCAGCTTTCCATAAGACACACCCACGAGGGTGGCATTTCCGTTTACCATTGCCATGGGAACATCCAGGAGTTACCGTTCTTTCCATGCCAATAACTCAACACCCTAGACATTATTACCCTTTTTCTAGACATTTCTGCATAATCCACTCCTTAATCTGCATGTAATTAAACGTAGGTATGACTATAGAACTACTGAGCTGCTAGTCTCAGCACGCTGCCTACAGGGTGGCCCTGCTCTGCAGGAGAAGTGACAGAGCTATAACCCAGCCTAGGCTATAACACTGCTGTTTCAATAAAGCTCTTTTCTTCTACCACTGGCTTGCCCTTGGATTCTTTCCTGGGCGAAGCAAAGAACCCACCAGGGCTGAGCTCCAGTCTGGGGCTGGCCTGCCCTGCATCAAGGTTAACATATGAAATAGAGTGCTAAAATATATAGTCTTAATTGTACTAGACTGAGTTCATTTATTGCTCTATCATTTAAAATTCCTGGCATAGAATATGTGCTCAAATATAAATGGTTGAGAAATGATTTGGTATCTTTGTAAGAAAGTGTCTCTTTCACATCCGATGCATTCTTTCAAAACTACACGTTTTTGGTAAATTTATTTAACAAATTCATGTAATAAATATTAAGTGCCTACAATGTGACAAGCATATAAGCACTGAAAATAGGGCAATAAATTTAAAGACAACAAGCTGGACATGGTGGCTCATGCCTGTAATTCCAGCAGTTTGGGAGGCCAAGGCAGGTGGATCACCTGAGGTCAGGAGTTCTAGGCCAGCCTGACCAACATGGTGAAACTCCGTCTCTACTAAAAATACAAAAAAAAAGCTGGGCGCGGTGGTGGGCGCCTGAAATCCCAGCCACTCGAGAGGCTGAGGCAGGAGAATCTCTTGAACCCGGGAGGCAGAGGTTACAGTGGGCCGAGATCACGCCATTGCACTCCAGCCTGAGCAACAAGAACAAAACTCCGTCTCTCTCTCTCTCTCTCTAATATATATTATATATATAATATATAAAAATATATATAATATATAATATATAAAATATATAAAATATATATAATATGTAATATGTAATATATAATATATAATATATAATATACAATATATGATATATATAATATTATATATAATATATAACATATAATATATAATATAATATATAACATATAATATATAATATATAAAAAATATAATATATAATATATAATATATAAAATATATATAATATATGTTATATAATATATAATATATAAAATATATATAATATATGTTATATAATATATAAAATATATATAATATATAAAATATATAATATATAAAATATATATAATATATATAATATATGTAAACTATATAATATATATAAAATATATATATAAATATATATATATTTTCTGTGTGTATTCTGCCTGTATACACACACACACACGCACACACACACACACACACATATATATATACAATAATTCCTGCCTTTGGGAGCCAATGGTGAAACCCATCCAAATTTAGGCAAATTGCAAACTCATAACAGTTGTAGTGAGCCAAGATCGCACCACTGGACTCCAGCTTGGGCGATAGGCAAGACTCTGTCTCAAAAAAATAAAAAATAAAATTAAAATAAAAGGGAGGCAGGCATCTCTAAGCTCTTGAGTACTTGTTAATTTCTTTCAAGTTTGCCTTTCAGGGCATTTGGAGGAAGGGAAAACAGGGAGGTGAAGGACAAAGAGGAAAGTCCAAACAGAGCTGGCACACGTGGAGGAAGAGGGTGATAACTCAGAGGCACCAAAGGAAAGAAATTAGAGCAGAAATCTTACCTTGGGGAAAAATGATCTGTCTTCCTCACAACACTAGGCTTAAACCATAATTCATGTTCTAACCGGCAGTCATAATGGCTGTAAGAAATGTGTAGGCATGAGGTGTTATGAAGTGCATATTAATTGCATTGACCTCTGAGACACCATTCCTTTTCTATCTGAGCATCTGAAGTCCTGGTGTTTGCAAAATCAAATGCTGAATCCTCTTCACAGACTTTGGAGAGCTTAAATGCTTGGGAGAGGAACTTGAGAAGAACCAAGGCACATAAACACTTAATAGTTTTCTTTTTATTATTTATAATTTGCTCTGCAGTCATTTCAAGTGGTCAACAAGAAGCCCCGGCTTCATTTCCATGAAAGGAATATGTCTTTATATTTCCCCATCCAAAATAAACAGCAGGTTTTTCTCTTACTGGAAAGTCAAGACATGAAATGTATTTCTGGCTTTTACAATTCACCATTTTGAGGCTGGGTGCAGTGGCTCACTCCTGTAATCTCAGCACTTTGGGAGGCTGAAGCAGGAGGATGGCTTGAGCCCAGGAGTTTGAGACCAGCCTGAGCAACATTGCAAAATCCTGTTGCTACAAAAAAATACAAAAATTAACCAGGCATGGTGGTGCATGCCTGTAGTCTCAGCTATTCGAGAAGCTGAGGTGGGAGGATCGCTTGCACCCTGGGGTCAAGGGTATAGTGAGCCATGATTGTGCTGCTGCACTCCAGCCTGGGCGACAGAGTAAGAATCTGTCTCAAAAAAAAAATTGATAAAAAAATGTTTTAAGTGACTTTTTTTTGAGGAACAGCATTTGGGGAATTGAGGGAAAATACAAACAGGCAATGGAATGAAAAGAGAAGGAAAACTGAAGATAAGATATCCTAACAGAGATAACTAAATTTGTTTTTTTCTCCTAAGTTTAAAAGACTGGGAACTCTTTAATTCTCCCCCAGGAGTAAATTCTCCCTCTCTCATTCTTGTTCTCTCTTGTTTCTGTCCAAGGTTAGATAAAATTATGCCTATAAGGGTCAGGGGATTTATTTCACTGTTAAATGGAAACAGCTGTATAAATTTTAATGTAGAGATTATATTTATCTATATCATAACCAGGGCCTTAGAATTTTGCAATCTAATTGTTATATTCAATGGTTCTCAAACAATTCTTTGGAGCCGAGGAAGCCTTTCTTTAGATGAAATCTCTCAAAAAAGACCAATATATGTAGCAGTTAAAATAAGAGCTGCTGGAATACTACTCAGCAATAAAAAGGAAAAATAAAGCACTGATACACAAGACAATTTGCAGGAATTTCAAGGGAACTTAACTGAGTGGAAAAACCAATCTCAAAAGGTCATGTACTGCATGATCCCATTTATATAATCTTGAAATGACAAAATTCTAGAGATGGAGAACAGAATAGGGATTGTCAGGGATTAGGGAGGCGAGGACCCTGGGAAATAGGTGTGGCTTTACTAGGGTAGCACAAAGGTATATTTGTAATGATTGCTCTATATCTTTACTCTGATGGTCCCATGTATCTACATGTGATAAAATTGCATAGAACTGAACACACACATGCATACAAATGAGCACATGGAAAACTGGTGAAATCTGAAGAAGGTCAGTGGATTGCATCAATGTCAATTTCTTGGTCGTGATGTTGTACAAGATATGCAAAACTGAGTGAGGGGTATATATGGGAACTCTCTGTATTATTTCATACAACTGCATGTGAATCAATGCTGTTCTCAAAGTTGAAAGTTTTTTTAAAAATCAGAATGGCCTTAGAAGTTGTTTGGGACTCACTCCCTCCTTGTTTTCTTCTCCTTAAAGTGAGTACCTTAGAGCACCATGAAGAAACCTCAGGTCAACTCCAAGACCTGCATTTGGCAACAAGGAGCTCCCACCCAGAGATAGAGGGTGACCTGTGCTCACTACCCAGTGAGGGGGTAACAGGGCTGGAGACTCAGCCTCATCTCAACACCTCCAGATTTTCAGCCAAAGACTCTTTCTTCTAAATCTAAATTATTGTTGTTTTTGAGACAGGCTCTCACTCTGTCACCCAGGCTAGAGTGCAGTGATGTGATCTCAGATCACTGCAACCTCTACCTACGAGCCTCAAGAGATACTCCCACCTCAGCCTCCTGAGTAGCTGGGACTACAGGCAGGTGCCACCACACCCAGCTAATTTTGTAGTTTTGTAGAGGCAGGGTCTCACTATGTTGTTCAGGCTGATCTCAAACTCCTGGACTCAAGTGATCCACTTGCCTCCACCTCCCAAAGTGCTGACATGACAGGTGTGAGCCACGATGTCCAGTAAGTCCCAATTGTTTTGTCCTTGCTGAATATTTGCTGTAAAGACCAAATTAACTAAATATATGAAGCAACTTAAAATCATTGATACCAGAAGCTAATGAGGCCTGCAAAACCCTGTGGAGAGGTTAATAATCTTAACCCTGTTTTACAAGTGAGGAAATTAGAGCACAGAGAGGTTGAGTAATTTGCCCAGGGGTAAAACCCTAGCAGGTGGCTCTGCTGGGATTAGAACCCACATGATCTGGCTCATGAGAATTCCTTAGTGCTGGGCTGAGCATATACTAATCACACAAGATGACGTGTGTGTGTGTACGTGCATATACAGAGATGTGTGTCTTTCAAAAGTCAAGTCTGCATGTCGGCTAAGGCCGTCATAGAAATGAGATTTGGGTTTAAAACTCAGCAACTTTCCTCTAATGCTATGTGTTTCTCCTACCCTCCTCCACTGGAGAAATTTCATTTGCTCAGGAATCTCCCATTTTGCCACCAGGGAACCAAAAAGTGACAGAACTTTGGCAGCTTCAACTGAGGGCTCCAGTGCCTGCGGCCCAACTCAGCTTGACACTGCAAAGGGAGAGGAAGTCCCTCCCAAATGTCAGGTAGCACAGACATCCAGAGCTGACCTTATGCCAAACCCCTATGACAATGCCCAGGCCTTGTCATTTACTCCTGTTTCTGCTCACATCATCCAAAGATGCTTCATTAGCTCCTCATTCCATCTTTATTTAGCTATCCATCAATGTCTCTGTCACTTTTATTTTTTGTTTATTTATATATTTTTTGAGATGGAGTCTCGCTCTGTTGCCCAGGCTGGAGTGCAATGGCACAATCTCAGCTCACTGCAACCTCCACCTCCTGGGTTCAAGCGATTCTCTTGCCTCAGCCTCCCAGTTAGCCGGGATTACAGGCAAGCGTCACAATTCCCAGCTAATTTTTGTATTTTTACTAGAAACGAGGTTTCGTCATGTTGGCCAGGCTGGTCTCAAACTCCGGACCTCAGGTGATCCACCTGCCTCGGCCTCTCAAAATGCAGGGATTACAGGCATGAACCACCATGCGTGGCCTGTCTCTGTCACTTTTATTGCCTCTTCTTGATTTTAAAATTTTTACTTAGCTGTCTATTCTGAATATACCCACGACTTCCCCATCAGAATCAATTATTTCATAGTATATAATTCATTTGTATTAAAGGACCTCCTATAGTTTTATTGGGGGGGGGGTTGAAACAGAGTTGTGCTCTCGTTGCCTAGGCTGGAGTGCAATGGCACGATCTTGGCTCACTGCAAACCTCCGCCTCTGGGGTTCAAGTGATTCTCCTGCCTCAGCCTCCAGAGAAGCTGCGATTATAGGCACCCACCACCACATCCAGCTAATTTTTTGTATTTTTAGTAGAGACAGGGATTCATCATGTTGGCCTATAGTTTTTAATGTGGTCACTTTCTCGGGACTATCAGAAGATGCTGAATTTTCTATTGTCTCATGAAGGGTTTCCTTGAGTTCAGATGATAAGGATCAGGGATTGGGAGAACACAGCAAGTCACATGGTTGCTCACACAAGCAACTTTTTTCTTTTTACATAAATAAAATTATATCATGTTGTAGTATGCTTTTTTCACTTAATAAATTGTGGACTTTTTTTCAACATCATTTTGATGGTTACCGTACTGGGTTAAATGGTGTCTCCTCCAAATTTGTGTCCACCCAGAACCTGTGAATGTGACCTTATTTGCACATGGAGTCTTTGCAGATGTAATCATGCTAAGATGGGGTCTCCCTGGATTAGAGTGGACCCTACATCCAGTGACTGGTTTCCTATGAGAAGAAAATTTGGGCACAGAGACATAGGAGAAAGAAGACCCCGTGAGGACAGAGGCAGAAGTTGGAGCACTACAGCTACAAGCCAAGTGTCTCCGTCCATTTGTGTTGCTGTAAGGGAACACCTGAGGCTGGGTAATTTATAAAGGAAACAAGTTTATTCGGCTCACAATTCTGCAGGCTGTGTAGGAGGCATGGCACCAACACCTGCTTCTAATGAGGGCCTCAGGAAGCTTCCGCTCATGGTGGAAGGTGAAGGGGAGCTGAATTGTGTGAAGATCACATGGCAAGAGAGAAAGAAAGAGACAGAGGAAGGAGGTTCCAGGCTTTTTTGAACAACCACCTCTCGCAGGAACTGATTGAGCAAGAACCCAGTCATTACTGCAAGGACAGCACCAAGGCATTCATGAGGGGATCCATCCCCATGACCGATGGTCATGGGTATTTAGAAATCAGGGTTGCTTTAGAAGCCTTCCATTCTGCCCTACCTCCAACACTGGGGATCAGATTTTCACGTGAGATTCGGAGGAGACACACAAACCAAACTATAGCATGAAGGAATGCCAAGGATTGCCAGTGACCTAAAGCTGTGAGAGAGGCATCAAACAGGTCCTACCTCAAGGTTTTCAGAAGGAGCTTGGCCATGCCAACATCTGCATTTCAGACTCTGGCCTCCAGAACTGGGAGAGAAGAAATCTTCATTGTTTTAAGTGATCCAGTTTGTGGTCATTTGTTATGGAAGCCCTCAGAAAATAATATAGCTACTTAGTGCTGTATCACATGAATCTATTAAACATATTTAACCAATTCCCTAACGAACACTGGTCTGTTTCTCTCTTTTTTGAGACGTAGTCTTGCTCTGTCACCCAGGCTGGAGTGCAGAGGTGCAATCTCGGCTCACTGCAACCTCCGCCTCCTCGTTTGAAGCAATTCTCATGCCTCAGCCTCCTGAGTAGCAGGGATTACAGGCACGTGCCACCACGCCCGGCTAATTTTTGTATTTTTAGTAGAGTCGGGGTTTCACCATGTTGTCCAGACTGGTCTCAAACTCCTGAGCTCAGGCAATCTGCCCACCTCGGCCTCCCAAAGTGCTGGGATTATAGGCGTGAGCTGCCACACCTGGCCAACACTGGTTTGTTTCTGTCAAGAATATTTTTTGAACTCTTCGATTGTTCATTTCTGTACCCTTATGCCATTTTCTGATAAGTTGTGTCCAAGTGGTCGGTGGTATAGTGCTGAGCATAGCTGACTTTCTAGTAATTGCTTTCCAAAAGCAATTTTGTTAAAGCAAAAGGTCCACTCTTTTAAGGATTTTTATTTATACCACAAAGTTAATTTGCCCATCCACCTGCAATTCATCAGAGGACCAGTTATTCTATCCCCCATCATGAGATGGTGTCATTTAATATTATGAAATACTTGCTTCTAGAATGCTTCTAGAATATCCTTCTTATTTTTCACCACATACCCTCTGACCTCGTGTTAGGCAGATACCACACTGTCTTAGCAACCACGGTATCCCCAGAGCCTGACACATGGTAGGTGCTCAATAAATATTTGCTAAGTGACTAAATAAATGGATGCCCATTAAAATCGTAGCAGTAATATCCTTCCCTCCCCCAGACTAATTGTTCCATATGCAATTTGGCAGCAAGGGTTAACTTATTAGGTATCATTTTGGTCCAGATCATTGCTAAATACTTACAATCGTGTAAGTCCCTGTGTACTCAGCAATGTGCTAGATACTAGGCAGATAGATAACAGGCTAGACAGGTACATATAAAGCATTTTTTACAATTGGCTTGCTTTTGCAGAATTTACATTGGGTTGGGAATTTATTTTTAGAAAGCTGTTCTTGGGATTATTCTTTTCCTATATCCAGCTAATTTTCCTTTTTTAATAACAACTTTACTAAGATATAACTTACATACTGTAATATTGACTCTTTTAAAGTTTATAATTTAGGCCGGGTGTGGTGGCTCACACCTGTATCCCAGCACTTTTGGAGCCTGAGGCAGGTGGATCGCTTGAGGCCAGGAGTTTGAGACGAGGTTGGCCAACATGGTGAAGCCCCTCTCTACTAAAAATTACAAAAATTAGGCCGACATGGGGGCACACGCCTGTAATCCAAGCTACTCAGAGGCTGGGGCATGAGAATCACTTGAACCCAGGAGGCAGACGTTGCAGTGAGCCAAAATCGCGCCACTGCACTCCAGCCTTGGCGACAAAGTGAGACCCTGTCTGAAAAAATAAATAAGTGAAAATAAATAATGTATATAATTCAATCTTTTCTAATGTATTTAAGAGTGGCGCAGCTGTCACCACTGTCTAATTTAGATCCTCTCTTTCAAAAATTCCATATTTATTAATGGCCACTCTCCATTCCTTTCTCCTCCCAGGCAGTGGCCACTATTAATCTTCTTTCTATCTCTATAAATTTGCCTATTCACATTCAGGCAACCTTGTACCTCTCCTGGACAGGGTTTATGCCTGTGTTTCATAATTCCATAATGCTTTGCATCTTTAGGAATTTGACAGATGCCTAAATGGCCAATAGCAAACACCCAGAGGCTCTGCAGAATTCTAAAACATCATTCAGGTTTAGTAAATGAAAGCAGAAAAGTCCATCATATTTTAGGAAAATCTTCTGTCCATGGGGTCAAAAAAGATTTCCATTTAATTAAACCCTCAGTTTTGTTGTACATGTTCACTTTTTGTGCATTTTTGCTGGTATTTCTTGCTCAAGGAAACAGCTCTGTCAATACACTTGCTGCCTGATGAACTTCATGAACCCACTGCCGTGCTGGGTCTTCGCATTTATGATGACACTTCCTCTGCCTTATGTTATCAGGAAGTGAAGGCTTCCATAGAAGTACATTTTCCAGATAACTAAAGTTAGCTCTTTCAAAGGCCACTCCTGAATTTCAATTATATTTTCTTATGAACGTCATTCTAAAATGCATACATATGGTGGATGTCTGGACAGAATTCTAAGATGATTCCCCAAGACACCCCTGCCCAGGTGTACACGTCCTATTTAGTCACCAGACCTTTGAACATTATAGATCTCACTCCTGTGATTAGGTCACGTCACATGGCACAGTTGCCTTAACAAAGAGAGCTTAGCCAATGGGCATGCCATAAATCCTTTAAATCTGGGAGTAGAGGTCGGAGGCGTCAGGGATTAGGAGCTCAAGAAAGATTCAGACCAGGAACAGTGGGACTTACCTGTAGTCCCAGCACTTTGAGAAGCAGGCAGATTGCTTGAGCCCAGGAGTTTGAGACCCACCTGGACAATATAGTGAAATCCCATCTCTACAAAATATACAAAAGTTAGCCGGATGTGGTGTCACGTGTCAGTGGTCCCAGACACTGAGGAGGCGGAAGTGGGAGGATCACTTGAGCTCGAGAGGTTGAGGCTGCAGTGAGCTGTGATAGCACCACTGAACTGCAGCCTGGGTAGCAGAGTGAGACACTGTCTCACAAAAGACAAAGAAGGTTTCAGGGCACGATGTTGGGTTGAGCATGGAGGGGGCATCTGGCAAGGAATGGGGACATCCTCTAGGAGCTGACGGCAGCGCCAGCTGATAGCCAGCAAGGAAACAAACACCTCAGATCTATAGCCACAAGAAGCTGAATGCCACCACCCATAACAATGAATGTGAAAGAAGACTTTTCTCCCAGATCCTCTAGGCAAGAACATAGTTCAACTGACACTTCGATTTCAGCCTTATGATACCCTAAGTACAGAATCCAGTCATTTCATACCAGATTTCTAACCTACAAAACTCTGAGTTCATAAATGGATGGCATTGGAAGCCACTCACTAAGTGTATGGTAATTTGCTAGACAGAAATAGCAACAACAGGAAACTAACACAAACACCTGTCTTTTAAATAACTGTGTTCATTTTACTATAAAACAACTTTTTTAGAATGTCTCTCTCTCTTTTTTTTTTAAAGAAAGTCTCTATTTCGTGATGCCTTGACTAGCCCAGAGAAGAAGATTAAAAAAGTGGTCTTGGTGCAAGGGTGGAAGTATGGGTTGCCACTTCAAGTCATGTCATTAGATGGGGGTGTTAGCAGAGGCAAATCAAGATAGTCATGATTGCCTTGCAAATGTTTGAACTGATTCAGACAAATGTTAAAATCTGCCACATCTATTCCAGTAAAAATGGTAGAAAAAAAACCTGCCACAGCATCCAATAAGCGTGGGAAAAGATGCTCAACATCATTAGCATCAGGGAAATGCAAATCAAAACCACAATGAGATACTGCTTCACACCCACTGCGATGACTGTAGTCCAAAAGTCAGATAATAACAAGTGTTGGTAAAAATGTGGAGAAATGGAAACCCTCATACAGTTGTCCCCTCCTATCCTTGGGACTTGGTTCCAGGACCCCCTGAGGATACCGGAATCTGTAGATGCTCAAGTCCTGTATATAAAATGGCACAACATTCGCATATAACTTATACACTTCATCCTGTACACCTTAAATCATCTCTAGATTACTTACAATATCTAATACAATGTAAACGCTATGTAAACGATTGTCATAATTTCCTTTTTATCTTTTTTTAGTGTATTGTTATTTTTATTCGTTTATGTTTCAATCTGCAGTCGGCTGAATCCTTGGATGCAGAACTCAATGATATGGAGACTAATTGTACGTTGTTGGTGAAATGTAAAATGGTGCAGCTGCTATGGGAGAGACTGAACGTCCCTCTGATGGTTAAAAACAGAGTAAACACATGACCCAGGAATTCCACTCTTAGGTATTTACCTAAGTGACATGAAACACAAGTCCACACCAAAACTTGGACTAGAATGTTCATAGCAGCATTATTCATAACGGCCAAAACGTAGCAACAACCCAAATGCCTATCAACTGACTAATGGATATATAATATGTGCTATAGCCATACAATGGAATATCATTTGGCAATAAATAGAGATTAAGTACTGATATATACTACAGTATTTATGAACCTTGAAAACATTATGCTAAGTGAAAGAAGCCAGGAGGACCCAGTGTAAGATTTCACTTATAAGAAATGTCCAGAATAGGCAAAGCTATAGAAAGAGAAAGAAGATTAATGGTGCGTGGAGCCGGGCGAAGCAGTGGGGATTTAGGAATGAGGGCTATGAGGGGTAGGATTTCTTTTAGGGGTTGTGGAAATGTTCTAAAATTGATCATATTGATGGATGCACAATACTGTGAATACACCAAAAGCAATTGAATTGCACACTTCAAATGGATGAATTGTACAGCATACGAAGTATATCTCAATATAACTGTTTTTTTAAAAAAGATGCATAGTATATTGCAGGATCACTCAAAAACCACCTGGTGTGTACAGGGAGGGGCCCACGAGCCAGCCAGGCCCCTCAGCATCTTCCCAGGGGAACTTGGCTCTGTCTGCATACATGATGTAAAAGGTGACCAGGGAGCAGCAAAGCCAAGAGCTGAGGAGTAGAATTCTTGCAGCTGCAGCTGCTCAGAAATCCCCATTCAGGGCTTTACTGGCAAGGTACACCTTGGTTAAAATCTCATCATGTCATTTGTATGGTCAGAATGATGTTGAGACTGGTTAATATTTTGACTAAAAAAATAACAATGGTGAGAAAATGAGAAAAGAGAAGGTGGGGTATAAAGGGAGCTAAATCCGCATCTATCCCAACCAGAAATCAATCAATAACAGTTAATGTTAGTAAGTTGAGCAATAGGAGTGGAAGCATCTCATTTAGACATGTAGAAGTAGCTGCCTAGTGGATCAGCTAGAGGTATTTAATGTGGCTGCCTCTGAGAAGGGGCCATATGGAGACAGATAGGGGAGGAGAGGGCTATATTTTACTTTGAGATTTTTAAGTGCTATTTTTTTTTAAGTATTAAATTGAACCATATGAAATTGCCATTTTCATAGGTGCAAAATGGTTGAAGATAGGCAATTCCATATGATTCAAACTTATATCTGAATGCATTTATTTTGGTTGCATATTTTGAAAAATAATAAAGCCTATTGGATAAAAGATATCTGTATTATTCTGTTCCCATGCTGCCAATAAAGACATACCAGAGACCAGGTAATTTAAAAAAGAAAGAGGTTTAATTGACTCACAATTCATCATGACTGGGGAGGCCGCAGGAAACTTACAATTATGGTGGAAGAGGAAGCCAACAGTACCAAGGTGCTGGAGGTGGAGGCTGTCAGCCACCTGCACTCCACGCAGCTGCGTGGCTAGCTCCTTCTTGAAGGTTCATCCGAGCTGTGCATCTCCACATTTGACCATATTTGTTGGGTAGTTACCTGCTCCAAGCAGTTTCCATCTCCTCACTCATTAATTTTCAAGATGATTCTGCAAGGTAAGATAGGAGACAGAGGCATGGTGAAATCCATGAGTAAATTATCTTGCCCAAGACGAGACCGTGAGTAGCAGACTCCATTCAGGGCCAGACAGGAGATCTGACTCCCATGTCCGAGCTCTGAATTTCCACACTACCCCATGTTACAGTGGATGTATTGTTTTAGGCATGGAAGACAGTCTGGAGACACATCCACCAGACTCTCACGGTGGCCTATCTCAGGGTGAAGGTGAAGATTTGAGAGATACCTTTCACGTGGCAGATTTTGATCTAATTTATATCTTATTGTACAACAAGAATTGTTAGCTTTGTAATAATAAACAATATAAAGTGACTGTGGAAAAAACAGAAAGGTTCCAAGCTTGACAATCTGCCTGTTGTGGGCTACAGGTGCTGTCAGGTATAATGGGGACAGAAGAGAAGGTACCTGAGTCCTTTGTTATTGTTGGGAGTCCTGTGGGTGCCTGGGGACCAAGACTGGTGGAAGGTGAGCAGGTGAGGCTGTTACTGTCCACTTTCTACTCCATTTCCACCGCTAAGTGCTTTGAGCAAGGTTGGTGTTGTGTCCCTCCTCAACGTGGTGTTTTTTTGTTTAGTTTTGTTTTTTGTTTTTTGAGACAAAGTCTCACTGTGTCACCCAAGCTGAAGTGAAGTGGCACAATCATATCTTACTGCAGCCTCCAATTCCTGGGCTCAAGTGATTCTCCCGCCTCAGCCTCCCAAGTAGCTAGGACTACAGGCATGCACTGTCACGCCCGGCTAATTGAAAAAAAAGAAATTTAGAGATGGGATCTTGCTATGTTGCTCAGGATGGTCTTGAACTCCTGGCCTCAAACAATCCTTTCCCCTCAGCTTCCTGAGGATGTGTAATTATGACTCGTGTCAATGTGTCAGCAACCCCCAAATTCATACAGTGAAGCCCTAAACCCCAGTATCTCAGAATGTAAATGTATTTGGAGACAGGGTGTTTAAATAAGTGAGGAAGGTAAAATGAGGTCACTGGGGTGGGCCTTAATCCGGTATAACTGGTGTCCTTACAAGAAGAGGAAATCTGGGCACACACGTGTACAGAGGGCAGATGATGTGAAGATGCAGGAAGATGAGAGCCATCTACAAGCGAAGCAGGGAGGCCGCAGAAGGAACCAACCCTGCTGGCATCTTGATCTTGTACTTCCAGCCTCCAGTACGGGGAGAAAATAAATTCCTGTTGTTCAAGCCTTTCCATCTGTGGATCTCTGGTACCTCATAGGCACCCCGAGCAGACTAGAAAAGTTGGTTAGGATCAGAAATGAAATGAAAATGAAGCAGCCACCATGGCTTGCCTGGTACCCTCTTGCCTCATTCCAGCTCCTGGCTGTTCAAGTGCCACTCTTCAGCTTGGAAATGGGAGAAAACCTTGGATCAGAAAACCTGGAGCCAGACAGACCTGGATTTAAAGCCCAGCTTTGCTGTGTGAGTGCAGGCAAGTGTCTTTACCTCTCTGAGCTTCTCATCTCTAAAAATGGATGATCAAAGTGCTTCCCTGGGTGCATGAGAATTACATGACACACTGGGAATCGGGCCCATAACACATGGTGGGCACACAGCAGGTGCTCAACTTGTCAGCTCCATTTCAGTTTCTGCCCACTTCCACCAAACTATGTGGCTCATTACTGTGGAATGATTTGTGTGCCCCAAAGTTCATATATTGAAGCCCCAAACTCCAGCACCTCAGAGTGTAAGTGTGTCTGGAGACAGAGCTTTTAAAGAGATGGCTAAGTTAAAACAAGGCTGTTAGGGTGGGCCCTAATCCAAAATAACCAGTGTCCTTATAGGAGGAGGAAGTTTGAACACAAAGGAGAGACACCAAGGGCATCTATCTGCAGAGGAAAGATCATATGAAGAGACTGTGAGAAGATGGCCGTCTGCAAGCCCAAGAGAGAGCCCTCAGAAATAACCCTACCAACACCTTGATCTTGGACTTTCTGCCTCCAGAACTGTGAGAAAATAAATCTCTGTTGTTTAAGCCACACAGTTTGTGGTATTTTGTGGTGCTGGCCTGAGCAGACTTTAATATACTTTCCATGGTGGGCAGCCTGCATCAGGTAGAGTTTGATCAGGGAAGCAGAAGCACTGAGTGTGATATTAAGGCACATTTAATAGGAATTAGACCCCGTGTAATGTAGGAGCTGGTGGAGGCATCTGTGGAAGGCTGCTACCTCTGCGTCTAGAAGTGGGGGAATTGTATGTTGCCACAGGTCAGCAGGACTGACAGTGGTTAAGATGTGAAATGGGGCAAACAAGAGCAAACTGGAGTCTGTGAGAACAAATTGGGACCCACAGATAATGGAAGACCCATGTTTGCCTCTCACTGCCTCCCACCCCCACAGCAGGGGTGACCTGCAGAAGGACCTGACTCTCTCCTCTGCAGGGCTGCATGATCACCTGGCCCAGGACTTTGAGAAGCTGGAGAAGGAGAAGTGGTAGGAGGCAGAGGAACTACAGGCCAGCCTGCTGCACACCCCCCAGGGAAGCCGGGAGGCCTGTGACGAATATGCATGAGCTATGACAGCACCTGCTCCCCTGCATTGACCTTCACAGCATGGTGGCTGCCACCTCCCTCCTCCTTCCCAAACTTCCCACAAATCTCCCTTCTGGCTACCCCCAGCCCAGGACTCTACAGGGATGGGAATTGTAGGAAACCTAATTCCAGCTGGCTAGGTGGCCCACACTGTCCTCAAGCTCAGGACACTCATTTTCTTTCCATGTACAAGGGCTCACCAGATCCATCCAATCAGGCCTAATGGATCATCTTCAAATAAGCAAGGTTTTGCATTTCTGTAATGAGTTATAGCTTCAGATTTCAAAATCCTAAGCCATCTTCTGCATCATTCTCCTAAGGAGGGCATTTTATTCCTCTGTCATCTTCACTGCAGGCTCAGCTTTCATGATTAGAGAAAAGCAGGGAAGGAGAGGCCCACTTTGCTTCCTAGGGCAGCTTGCTTCCATGTTTCAGTAGCTCCTAGGTAGTTATATCCCCATTGTGTATCTTAGAGATGTTATGATTCTCATTTTACCAGGACAGCAAATGGAGTCCAGCAAAGTTGAATGTCATACAAAGTCATGGTTATAAGGGATGCTTTATGAATTTGAATATGAATCAGCAAGGGATGTTTCTGATTTTTTAAGGCTCCATTTTATCTCAGTATTTTGGGACTTCAGCTTTGTGAAGTTGAGTTCATCATATTCCTCAAGTCGCCACACATATTATCAGTAGTTCATGCAATTCCTTTATCATTTTTTATTTTTATGATTAATTTCCCCCTTTTATATTTTATTTCTTACCCCCATTTCTCTACGGTAGGCCCTACTCCAAAAGGCTACACATATCAATTCACAGATACCTACGAAATCTTGAGGTATATATAGACAGATAAATATACATATCTATTTATAGAAAACGTAATTTTGTATGTGATACAGTATATTTAACATTTATAAAGTACATGATTGACTGTGTATCTAGAAGTCTTACCAAATTCCCTATTAGTTCTAAAAGTTTGTCTCTTGATTCTCTTGAGTTTTCTATGAAGACAAACATATTGAGGTTTTAAAAATTATTTTTATTCAAATTTCTCTTTTAGATTTAAAACATTCTTAGCATAAAGATGAGGCCTCACTATATTGCCCAGGCTGGTCTTGAACTTCTGGTCTCAAGTGATCCTCCCACCTCAGCCTCCCAAAGTGCTGGGATTACAGGCATGAACCACCACACCTGGTCAAACATATTATTTTATTTTAGACATACTGATTTATTTTTCTTTCCTTCTTCACCAGGCTGAACAGTAATAGTGAGAGAGAGAACTCCAGTTTTCCCAATCTTTAATGGTATGTAGGAACCCTTTAGGTACTGGTAATATTCTACAACATGATCTGGGTGTCAGTTACATGGATATATGCATATCCAGGAAATTCACCAACCTGTATACTTAAGATTTAAGCACCTTGCTGTATGTATGTTACACTTCAGTGCAAATAAAGATAGAAAATGTTCCCAACTGCTACTTGGACTTTGTCCCATGAAATTTAATGGGTAATAATTTCATCATTATTCAGTTCCAATATTTCATAATTTTCTTTATGAGTTTTTTTCTTCTATTATCTAATATATAAATCTGTGGTTCTTTTGTCATTGATATATGATAGCACTAACTTATCTTTAAGGAACATGAGATATATGGTATAGATTCTTAGATTTTTATTGTAGCTTTCTGTGTATCTGGGACATAGATGACTTTTCTGCTCCATATCTACTTAAAAATAATATCTACTTTCTATTTGTTCAGTGTTCAGCTTTCTAGATGTCCATTATAATTTTTGTATTCAATATTTACATATTTTTGTTTACTTTCTGTATTTCTGTGGTTGCAAATTCTGAAAAGGGTATGTTAAAATATCTAATTAGGCAATTATCAGTGATCACTAACTCCTCAGAGTTCTGTCAGTTTTTATAAGGTTGTGAGTATATAGTTAATGATCTTTACAGCATCTTGACCTATGTTTCCCTTAATCAGTATATAAAAGTCCCACTTTGACTTGAAGATGTTTTCATCCTAAAAACTATATGTCTGAAAAAGAACACTACTCTAGGATAAAAAAGACTTCAGGGACAAACAATTAAATGCACAGTGTGGATCTTGTCTAGATCCTCATGTGAACAAACCAACTGTCAAAACACTTTAAATTTTTTTAGGCATTCATAGAAGAAATGAATATTGTCTGGAGTGAAGTACGAGAATGGCATCGTGGATTTGTAATAAAACGTCCCATTTTTAGACATATTATTTGGAAGCGAAATGATGTGAATTCAGGATTTGCCTTCACCTACTTCTGCAATTTCCACTTCTAGCCAAGATAAGTAAAAGGGGTCTTATTACTCGCCTCCACCTTAAAAAAAGGAGAACACTGAAAAATGTATTGAATTATGTTTTCTGGACATTGGACAACAGGAAGGGCAGGAATTTGATCCCTGGGAGAATGAACAAAAAGAAGGTAAGGTCTGTGATTTTCCCGGTTTACTGCCTAGGGAGAAGTTCTAGGCAGTAGCATAGGGAAAGAAAACAAAAACACAGGCTAATTAAAGCTTGATTGGCAATATTAGCATCAAATAAAGTAAATTTTATAACCAGTAATGTTACCAGTGATAAAATAGGATTTTTTATAATAACAAAAGGAATCTCTTTTCATCAAGAAAACATAGCCACTCTACATGTCAATTAATGTGCTTCAAGATACATGAAGCAGAAATAGTTCATGGATTGGGAAACTCAATATTGTTAAGATGCCATTTCTCTTCAAACTCATCTATAGATTGAACACAATCCTGAAAGCACTCTAGCAGTCATCTTTTTGTAGAAATTGATAAGCCACTTCTAAAATTTGTATTGAAATGTAAAGGACTTGGACTAGGCAAATCAGTTTAATGAAAGAACAAGGGTGGATGACATATACTCACTAATTTTAAGACTTACTATAAGGATATGGTAATCAAGACAGTGTGGTATTGTCATAAGAATGAGCAAATTGATAATGGAATAGAACAGAGAGTAGAAATTGAACTATGTCATAAATATTCAATTGCTTTTTGGAAAAAGTACCTAGAAAATTCAATAGGGAAAGAATAATCCTTCCAATAAATGGTGCTGGATCAGTTTGACAACCATATACAAAAAAGAGAAATATCAGCCCATACCTCATATAATGCACACAATTATCTTGAGATGAATTGTAGACCTAAATGTAAAAGTGAAAATTAAATTCAGGAAGAAAACAAAATTTCAGGAGAAAATATAGAAGAAAATCACTGTGTCCTCAGGTATGCAAAGATGTCTTTGCATAGGTCACAGAAAACATGAATCATAAAAGAAAAAATAATAAATTGGATTTCAACAAAATTAAACATTCACCATATAAAATATAAGACACTGTTAAGAAAATCAGAACTCAAGGCACAAACTGTAAGAAATACTGACAAAACAGATATGTAAGAAACAAGATGCATTGAGAAGAGGTTTAAAAACTTACAACTCAATAATAAGAAGATAAATAACCTGATCTAAAATGAGTAAAAAACTTGAATAGTCACTTTACTAAAAAAGATATATGGCCAAGTGCAGTGGCTCATGCCTGTAGCCCCAGCACTTTGAGAGGCTGAGGTGGGTGAATTGCTTGAGTCCAAGAGTTTGATACCAGCTGGGCAGCATGGCAAAACCCCGGCGGAACTCCAGCCTGGGTGATAGAGAAGACTCTGTCTCAAAAAATAAAAAAATTTTTAAAAAGAAGATATGTGGATGGGAAATAGTTCATGAAAACATATATGTCGATTGTCATTATGACAATGCAAATTAAAACTACAACGCACAGCATACACCATTAGAATGAAGAGGATGTAGAGCAACTGGAACTCTCATCTGTTGCTGGAAGCAATGCAAATTGTATGTCCACTTTAGGAAACAGGCAGTTTCTTATTAGGTTAAGCATACACTTACTATACAATCCAACAATCCCATCTCTCGTTTTAATCCAAGAGAAAGAAAAACACATTTACACCAAGATTTATACTTAAATATTCATAGTGGTTTGATTCATCATAGCCTCAAACTGGAAACAACTCAAATGTTCATCAACTAACTGGTCAGTGGATAAACAAAGTGTGTCATAATCCTATAAAGGAATACTACTCAGCAATAAAAAGGAAGGAACTGGCCAGGCGCAGTGGCTCACGCCTGTAATTCCAGCACTTTGGAAGGCCGAGGCAGGCGGATCACTTGAGGTCAGGAGTTTGAGACCAGCCTGGCCAACATGGTGAAACCCCATCTCTACTAATAAAAAAATTAGCCAGGCATGGTGGCACGTGCCTGTAATCCCAGCTACTCAGGAGGCTGAGGCACAAGAATCACTTGAACCTGGGAGGCAGAGGTTGCAGTGAGCCAAGATTGCACCACTGCACTCTAGCCTGGGCAATAGAATGAAACTGTCTCAAAAAAAAAAAATTAAAAAAGGAAGGAACTACAATGCATATAATAACATGAATGAATCTCAAAAGCACTATACCATGAGAAGAGCATGCCCTGGTTAGTCCACTGTTCCAAGGAGGATGAAAAAAATGTGGAGGAGAGCCATCTTAGCCAATGCACGAACCTCCAGGGAGAATGCACCTAAACAACCAAACCTGAGCTTCGTCTGAATGTTAGATCTATGAGAATAAATGATTATCGTTTTATGTCTCTGAGGCTTCTTCACGACATAAATACGCAATTCATTGACATAGAAATACCTGTAGCCACTAAGGACACACTGAATATTAGCATGATAAACATTAATACATTTTCATTAGAGTAATAGGGAAATTTTTTCCACTGCTATTAGCAATGGAAAAAGAATGATAATACCCAGGTTCACAAGTGTGTGAGGAAACAGACATTTTCATATACTGGTGGCATAAACACATGGCATTGAGTTTTGTGATGGTTCTTACAAAGCATGGTGGTAACAATAGCTGATCAATAAATACATCACCTGTCGCAAGCTGAACCACTCACAATACTATCATTTTTTGGCTCTCCAGAATTGGGCACGTCAACCAAGCTTGGCTAATTATTAAAACCATGCTCTAGAATCTTTTTCAACAAGGAACCAGAGAGAGTGACTCTTGCTGTCTCTCTAACGGTGAAGTTGTGAAGTGTGAGGATAGAAGCAACTGGTAGACAAGTTTCCAGCTGCACGCTGAAGTCTGATCTGAGCACAGGAAACCAATGGGCAGGGAAAAATGGTACCTATCAACTTTTAAAATTGTGATTGCTCCTGAAATTTATCTGCTTCCTGCCGTTCCTACTGATCTCATGCATGCATCTTCTTTTGTGTCTAACCAACTTCAATAAAGTCCTGGCTAATATTCCCTGCCCACCTGCCAAGTACATAGAGTTCTTCCCAGGTCAGTCCCAACCAACTTCCAGGCAATTGCCTGCTATGAATTTTGGGAGAGGACAAATCCCCTACCTACAGATTAACAGGCCTTTTGTGATAATCTAGTCTAAATCTCTCATTTTGGAGATGAGTAAATTAAGACCCCCAAAGTGGAATGGCTTTCTTGAGATAACAGAAAACAAAACATGCATGAAATCTGGCTCTCCTGAATTTAAAATATAACAAGGGACCATCTGAGATGAACAGAGCATTTATATGCTACTTGGCTACCTATAATGCCTTTAGGCAACTCATAAGTCAGAAGCTTGTGTTCCAAATAAGAAACAATAAAGAGACTTACTGCATTGCCTCTTAGAATGGCAAAGGTTAAGATACGTTTTACTACCCAGTGATATTAAATATCTAAAGAAATAAACACCTTCAAAGATGAATGGTGGATATGCAAATTGGGACAAATCTTTCTTTTTTTTTTTTCTTTTCTGTTTTTCTTTTTTTGAGACAGAGTTTCGCTCTTGTTGCCCAGGCTGGAGTGCAATGAGTGATCTTGGCTTATTGCAACCTCCACTTTCTGGGTTCAAGTAATTCCCCTGCCTCAGCATCCCAAGTCACTGGGATTACAGGCACCCGCTACCACACCTAGCTAATTTTTGTTATTTATTTATTTAGAGACACAGTCTGTCTCTGTCGCCCAGGCTGGAGTACAGTGACCTGATCTCGGCTCAATGCAACCTCCGCCTCCCGGGTTCAAGCGATTCTCCTGCCTCAGCCTCCTGAGTAGCTGGGATTACAGGCGCTGGCCACTGCACCCAGCTAATTTTTATATTTGTAGTAGAGACAGGGTTTCATCATGTTGGTCAGGCTGGTCTCAAACCCTTGACCTCATGATCTGCCCACCTTGGCCTCCCAAAGTGCCGGGATTACAGGCGTGACCCACTGCGCCTGGCCTAATTTTGGTTATTTTTTAGTAGAGATGGGGTTTCGCTGCATTGGCCAGGCTGGTCTCGAACTCCTGACCTCAGGAGATCCACCCACCTCGGCCTCCCAAAGTGCTGGGATTACAGTTGTGAGCCACCCCGCCCAGCCGGGACAAATCTTTCTTGGAAAGCAATTAGGCAATCCAGCCGTTTATCCTCTAGTACGTTATCCCAAGGAGACAATTTCACAAGTTAAGGAAGTTATATGCAAGAATGATCATCGTTTTTGTCTGGTAATAGGGAAATACTAGAAACAATGTAAAATCCAACAGAGAGGATCAATATAATTACATTGGTAATAACCTGCCTTCTTTTTGATGAAATACTATACAATCATTAAAATTTGAATGTATAGGAGAATGTGGGAAGAGAGAGAACAAAATTCTGGAAGAATATTCATGTCAATAGAGGTCTCTTTCTTTCTCTCTCTCTCTCTCACCTCTTCTCTCTCTCTTCCTTTATTTCTTTTTCATTTTTAGAGATAGGGTCTCACTGTGTCACTCGGGCTGGAGTGCAGTGGCACAATCATAGTTCATTGCGGCCTTGAACTCCTAGGCTCAAGTGATCCTCCTGACTCAGATCTCCCTAGTAGCTGGGACAACAGGCATGCGCCACCATACCCAGTGAGGTTTTTCCTTTGAGATGGACATTCTGTTGCTAGGATTTTTGTTTATATGTTTGTCTGCCTTTCTCTTTAGGTATTTCTGTAGGGTTTGAATTTTTTACCTCTGCCCCAAAACAGGGCTACAGCAGACTGTTCCAATATAAGCTGACACCTGGTCCTCTGTGTTTATCAAGGAACATAATCTCTGCCGAGTCATCATAAATAACCATCAGGACATGAGGTGATAGTCGGCCAACTTAGCTTTCCTGAGGATCTTGGCTCCAAGAACAGCAAAGCCCTTCCCACACTTAGGTTCACTCACCCTTACACCTTTGAGCTGGAACCTGGCTGAGAGCTGCAGAACCAGCCAGGGCCACTCTGTTCCTTAGGAAATTCTTGTCCTTTTCTACTTAACTTCTGTTTGTTTAATGTGTTCCCTGTGTGACCTCTAGCTCCCTGGCTAAGCCAAAGTAAAAAATGTCTTTAGCTTTCCAGGTACCAACATATCTAGACTACAGCAAGGTGTTGGGTTCTGATCCCAGAAGTTTCAAATCATACCTAGGTTTGAAATGAGGTGACCAAGAGGACTGGATACCCCAGTTTTGAATTCTGGTCTCTTTCACCTATGAACAAGTTTCATCTATCTGAGCTACAGTTTTCAGTCTTGAAAAGGATATACCTTTCCCAGACATTGGGGATACAACAAGACATAAACAGACCTGATCCTTCCTTTTCACCATAGGGTCTTCCGCGCCTAATGGAAAAGCAAACAGGGTGCGGTGGCTCATGCCTATAATCCTAGCACTTTGGGAAGCCGAAGAAAATGGATCGCTTGAGCCCAGGAGTTTGAGACAAGCCTGGAAACAAAGTGAGAACCCATCTCTACAAGAAATTTAAAAAATTAGCCAGGTAAGGTGGCATGCACCTGTAGTCTCTGCTATTTGGGAGGCTGAGGTGGGAGGATCACTTGAGTCCAGGAGGTTGAGGCTACGGTGAGCCAAGGTCATGCCACTGCACTCTAGCCTGGGCAACAGGGAGAGACCCTGTCTCAAATAAATAAATAAGAAGAAAAGCAGGTGTTAAATGAATAACTACTTAAGCAGAATATTGGTGTGGAATAAAATCGGGATTGGGGTGAGCAGAGAAGTCAGAGAAATGGTATTTCAGCCATCAGTTGAAGGATAGGAACCATAGGTGCACACCATGTTGATCTCTTTACATAGTTCGGCATAATAATTATGTATCTATATCTATGTCTGTAGTCTCTGCCAATACTTCCTGACGGAGTGCCTAAAACTCTTGTAATGTCCTGAGTGATGGGGGGGTGTTAGGTGCATCATTTGTTCTAGTATTTGATCTTTGACCCCAGTTCTTGACACAGAGTTCCTAATTTCTTGGAAATTTCTGGGTGATACGCATATCTTTTATTCTAGTATTTGGTCTTTGACCCCAGTTCCTGACATAGAGCTCCTAATCCCTTGGAATTTCCTGGGTGATGGGAGCATCTTTTATTCTAATGAGGTGACTCTCCTGAATGGGGGCTGGTCACCAGAAAGACCAAGCCGTGACTAGAAGCTTGAAACTTTCAGCCCCACCTCCCATCCTTTGGGAAAGGAAAGGGGCTGGAGATTGAGTTAATAATCCATCATGCAAATGTGATGAAGCCTTCATAAAAGTCCCTGTACTGGGGGGTGCAGAGAGCTCCCTGGTTGGTAAACACATCTGTGTGCTGAGAGGATGGTATACCCCAGCTCCCTGGGAACAGAAGCTCTTCCACTTGGGACCTTTCCAGACCTCACCCTGTGTATCTTTTTATCCAGCTGATCTTCTGTACCCCTTTTCATATCCTTTATTATGAAATAAACCAGTAAACATAAGTAAATATTATCCCGAGTTCTGCGAGTCATCCTTGAAAATTATTGAACCCGAGGAGGAGGGAACCTTGATTTATAGCCAGTCGGTCAAAAGTACAGATGACAACCTCCTGGAACTTCGCAATTTGCATCTCAGGTATGGGACTAGGGGCCAGGTGCAGTGGCTCATGCCTGTAATCCCACGCGTTGGGAGGTCAGGGCGGGAGGATCACTTGAGACCAAGAGTTCGAGTCTGCAGTGAGCTATGATCATGCCACTGCACTCAGCCTGGGTGACAGAGTGAGACTCCATCTCAAAAAATAAGATAAAATAGAAATAAATGAAAATAAATAAGTAAAGTGGGGGAACTAAGCCCTTAACCTATGGGGTCTGCACTAACTCCAGTTAGTGTCAGAAGTGAATTAAATTATAGGACATCCACCTGGGGTTGGAGAAGTGCTTGGTATGGGAAAACCTCACACATTTTAATGACCAGAAGTATTGTGAGAGTATAGAAGAGGAGAAACAGTTTGTTTTTTCTATATGCACACACATGACTTCATTCAAGTATCACAACGAGACTTTTCAGAGTGTTACATATATTATCCCCATTTTACAGATGTGGAAAGCTGAGAGTAAGGAGGAATAAGTACATTTCTTAAGATCGCGGAGCCAGAAAAGGGACAGATGTGAAGTTTGAAAGTGAGTAAACTTACTCCAGAGCCTGCAAAAAAAAAAAAAATATATATATATATACACACACACATATATATACACACACACATATATATACACATATATATACATATATACACATATATATACACATATATACATATATACACATATATACACACATATATACACGTATATATACATATATACACACATATATGTAACAGTTTTTAATTGTGCCTTATTCAAGTTAGTTCATTAAAAATGTATAATACTTGTTTTAAAGGTCCTACAAATGAAGTGATCACCCACGAATGTGGGATGTAGGTCACTATATTTCACCTCAGAATGTTCTTTTTTTTTTAAAGCAGTATTTCTTATAGGACTCTTACTTATCACACAGTGGTTACAATAATGTATATATATATAATGTGTATATATACAATGTATATATATATAAAATGTGCATATATAAAATGTGTATATATACAATGTATATATATACACACACATACATAATACACACACACACATACACATATTAAAAGTTAGCCAAGTGGACTGATGTATGCAGCAGCTGCACTCCTGCCTAGGTAACAGAGTCAGACTCCATCTAAATATATATATATAGTGTATATATATAATGTGTATATATATAATGTATATATATACATACACACACACATATGATACATACACACACACACACACATATGAAAACTTAGCCAAGTGGACTGATGTATGCAGCAGGGAGAGCAGGTGACAGGAGCTCCTTGAATGCTCAGTAGAGGACCCAGATGCAAGGAATCTGGTTTTCGCCTTCATTACACTAAACAGCTTTCACTAACATATACAGGTATTCCACACACATCTAAACACACAAGGGTAAGTTGTGACCTCCTACACATACAGTCTAAAGTGGTGCAGCCGTGGTCTTCCTGTGATACTCCCAAGAATATGGGAAATGGTGAACCCCATGCAGGTAGTGGGTAGCACTGGTCTTTTATCATAGGTTGAACTTGAAGATGTTGAACTCTTGACATGAGTATCTGTAAAGAGCATATGTCTGCTTTTGCTATGCTTCCTCTATAATCGACATGCCCTTAAAGTGGGAGAATTCTGATGGCTGTCTGACCTAACAGTGATATCTGAACTACTATTAATAATGTGGGGCTGGGCACGGTGGCTCAAGCCTGTAATCCCAGCACTTTGGGAGGCCGAGGCAGGTGGATCACGAGGTCAGGAGATCGAAACCATCCTGACTAACATGGTGAAACCCCGTCTCTACTAAAAATACAAAAATTTAGCTGGGTGTGGTGGCGGGCGCCTGTAGTCCCAGCTACTCAGGAGGCTGAGACAAGAGAATCGCTTGAACCTGGGAGGCGGAGGTTGAAGTGAGCCGAGGTCACGCCACCGCACTCCAGCCTGGGAGACAGAGCAAGACTTCATCTCAAAAAAAAAATGTGGAAATCTTTCAATAACACCTAGTTATACATTTAACATTAAAATAAAAAGCATGGATCATCCATAGCTTTAAGCCAAAAGGTAGAAGGGAGTGTGTCTGAATTTTAATGCTTTTAATTATACTATTCTGTGGTTTCTTCCACTGTCCTAAAGAATGACACTGGTACACTGCTTGTTTCTGTACCAACGCAGGCACGACTTTGAACTCTTAGATCAGACAACACCTGAAACAAGAAATGCCACTCTTTCTCTGGGGTCTTTTAAGAAGCTAAACCAAAATTATAAATTATTCTAGTTTCCTATTGAATGGTGTTTTTTTGGTTTGTTTGTTTTGTTTTTTGTTTTTTTTTTTTTTTTTTTTTAGGGACAGGAGTCTCTGTCTGTCGCCCAGGCTGGAGTGCAGTGGCACTATCTCTGCTCACAGCAACCTCTGCCTCCCAGGCTCAGGCAATTCTCCTGCCTCAGCCTCCCAGGTAACTGGGCTTGCAGACACCCACCATCACGCCTGGCTAATTTTTTTTTTTAGTAAAGACAGGGTTTTACCATGTTGGCCAGGCTGGTCTCAAACTCCTGACCTCAAGTGATCCACCCGCCTTGGCCTCCCAAAGTGCCGGGATTACAGGCATGAGCCACCGCGCCTGGCCTGAATGCTGTTTTTACGTGTGTAACTATCTAGAGAACAAACCAAATAAGAAGTGTCTACTACTGCAAGAATGTGGACTTTTGGCATAGTTCTGTTAGGAATCAGAAACCTTGAGCACCAGTTTAGAGTCAGGGTAGTTTTCCTACACACCCCCATTTACCCTGCATTTGTGCCAACTATTATGGCAAGTGTGTTTGGGGGGGTGGTTATGCTTCACAACTTAGGCTTATGAATCCTCTTAGGGAGTCTCTCTAGCTGAGTAGAAAACCTTTATAAAAAGGTGGCAGGTCCTGTGGACTTGAGGAGAAGACTCCATGTCTCTCTGAAAGCCTTTAGATTACTGCTTGAATTGCAAGTTCCTATTAGGGAGAAATAGCTTTGAAATATTAGGTTGGTGCAAACGTAATTGCAGTTTTTGCCATTACTTTCAATGGCAAAAAACTCAATTACATTTGCACGAAACTTTTAACTTGAAAGTCTATTTCACTGGCAACTTAGAATGCAAAGTATTTTATTTTTAAACGTTTAAACTTCGATAACAAGCTAGCCTATGTTAAATAATATAATATCGGCTGGGCATGGTGGCTCACGCCTGTAATCCTAGCACTTTGGGAGGGCAAGGCGGCGCCTGTCATCACTTGAGGTCAGGAATTCTAGACCAGCCGGGCCAATATGGTGAAACCCTATCTCCACTAAAAATACAAAAATTATCTGGGTGTTGTGGTTGGGCACCTGCAATCCCAGCTACTTGGGAGGCTGAGGCAGGAGAATCACTTGAAACTTGGGTTGCAGTGAGCTGATATTGCGCCACTGCACTCCAGCCTAGGCAACAGAACAACAGAGTGAGACTCCACCTCAAAATAAAAATAATACTATACTTTCCAGGTCGGACACCATGGCTCACACCTGTAATCCCAACATTTTGGGAAGCCAAGGTGGGCAGATCACTTGAGGCCAGGAGTTCAAGACCAGCCTGGCCAACATGGTAAAACCCCGTCTCTACTAAAAATACAAAAATTAGTTGGGCATGGTGGCACATGCCTGTAATCCCAGATACTCAGGAGGCTGAGGCAAGAGAATCGCTTGAACCCAGGAGGCAGAGGTTTCAGTGAGCCAAGATTACACCATTGCACTCCTGTCTGGGCAACAGAGTGAGACCCCATCTCAATAGTAATAATAATAATATAGTTGCCAAAACTGAACATACTCACTGGGAACTCAGTTTTTCTGCTTGAAATACAAATCCAACTTCTCCTAGGTGGGAGAACTACTGTTTGATGATCTGATTAGATGAACTGATCTATCTCAGTTAGTAACATCCCTTTTTTTCCCTTGGTAACGGTTTTAAAAATTCTAGAATAGATGCATTTTTCTAGTTGTATACTGACAATTTCCTTCCAAACATCTCCTGGGAGGCATAGACCGTGTACAGGAATCCATCTTCATCCTTCTCACCCTCATACACCTCTGAGGTTGGTGTAGAAACACTCACCGTGCTGGGTCCATTCACCAACAGGAAGAAGGCTTGATTAGCATTGAGCCGTAAGCACCTTTTAATTATCTTGGTGAGTTCACTCATGTTGACGTGATCAGGTACAAGGAACTTTGTTTTATCCAGGACAGGAAGCTCCTTCTCACCCTGGTATCATTCTATTGATAGCAACAGGAGGCAGATACGGGCAGGTGCCAAGTGAAACCCCACCTCCAAGCAGAAGACAGTTAAAAGCCTGAAAGCCAAGCTGCAAGTTAAATCCCCAGACAGGGTTGAGAACTTGTCTTCCCGTTTGGAGCACCTGCCCCTGACTGATCCCCACCCTTCACTTACTTTACATACACCTACCCTTTCCTAATTGGTTTTCTACACTGTCATGCCTACCTTTGAGTAGTGTCTTCACTTTTAACTTTTTTGCGTACTCACAAACCAATCAGCACACACTCCCCATTCTAAGTCCACAAAAGGCCCTGGACCCAGCCACACGGGGGGAACTTTCCTGCCTTTGGGTAGGGGGAACAACCCCATGTCCCCTCTCTGCTAAAAATCATTTTCATCACTCAATAAAATTCTTCTCCGCCCTCCTCATCCTTCAATGTCCAGTGTATCCTCATTCTTCTTGGGTGTGGTACAAGAGCTTGGGAACTGCTGAATGCAGGTACAAGCTGTAACAAAGGCAAGCTGGGGCATGTCAGCGTGACGGAGCAAGGCCCAGGCCTGGATGGGTCATCACCAGCCAGGGGTCCATGGCTTGCAAGTTGACCGAGAAGAAAATTCCTACATCACTATTGTCACTGGGATTTGGGTTGGATGCTACTCTTGGATAAGTCAGACATCTACTCTTTGTTTGAAGGTGCAGCACTGCTTGAAGGTCTTCTCTGACAGCATGGTGTGGGGATCTGGGCAGTGGCCACGGATCCAACTGGCAACAGTGACTGCCCTTCAAAAAAAATTTTTTTTGCGGGGGCCAAAACCTGGGAGCAATTTTTTTTTTAATTTAGTAAAGTAACACATCTGTAAGATTTTAAAAGGCAGAAATAGGGTGGGGCTACAAATGTCAGAATGAGAAAGAGAAAGGAGGTAGCTCTCTGCCCCACCCCTGTCACTTCTTGTTCCCAGGGCAACAACCTTCAAAACTCTTAGCTGCTTTTATGCCAGATTTTCAAAATGGTTAGGAAGCACTTTTTTCAGCTAAACATGAAGAAAATCAAGGTGCATTTCTGTCGTGAATCACAGTAGTGAGTTTGAAATTTGGTTAAATTTGAATGAGCTTGACTAATGGCAATACAAGAGCAGGGATTTTTGTCTCTTCGTTTATTGCCATATTTCCAGTTCTTTGAATGGTGCCTGGCATGGAGCAGGCACACATTAAATAGTCACTGCATGAATCTGTGGAATAAATTTGTCAAAAGCATGCATTTTTGAAGAACTGTTCCTTACATAAAAAAATACTTTTTAATAAAAATATCCAATCATTTCTTAAGGGTGTATTTTTCTAATTCTTGAACCTGGGAGGCAGAGGTTGCAGTGAGCTGAGATCATACCACTGCACTCCAGCCTGGGTGACAGACCAAGACTCCATCTCAGAAGAAAAGAAAAAAAAAAAACCAGAAGATGAGAAGAATAAAACGCCCTCCTTAGGAGACTGACGCAGAAGATGGGTTAGGATTTTGAAATCTGAAGCTATAACTCATTACAGAAATACAAAACCTTGCTTATTTGAAGATGAGCCATTAGGCCTGATTAGATGGAACTGATTAGATAGCCCTTATGTGTGGTAAGACAATGAGTATCCTGTGCTTGGGGATGGTTTCACACTGGGCCATCTAGCCAGCTGGAATTAGGTTTCCTACAATTCCTGTCCCTGTAGGGTGCTGGGCTAGAAGTGGCCAGAAGGGAGATTTATGGGAGGGTTGGAAAGCAGAAGGGAAGTGGCAGCCACCATGCTGTGCAGGTCAGTGCAGGGGAGCAGGTGCTGCCATAACTGATGCATATTCGCCACAGGCCTTCTGGCTTCCCTTGGGGGTGTGCAGCAGGCTGGCCTGCAGCTCCTCTGCCTCCTACCACTTCTCTTTCTCCAGCTTCTCAAAGTCCTGGGCCAGGTGATCATGCAGCCCTGCAGAGGAGAGAGTCAGGTCCTTCTGCAGGTCACCCCTGCTGTGAGGGTGAGAGGCAGTGAGAGGCAAGCATGGGTCTTCCACTGTCTGTGGGTCCCAGTTTGTTCTTTCAGACTCCAGTCTCGCTTGCCGCATTTCACATCTTGACCACTGGCCCTGCTGACATACAATCCACCCACTCCTAGATGCAGAGGTACCAGCCTTCGACAGATGCCTCCACCAGCTCCTACATGGAACGGGGTCTAATCCCTGTTATAAATGCCTTAATATCACTCTCAGGGCTTCTGCTTCCCTAATCAAACTCTACCTGATGCAGGCTGCCCACCACGGAGGTTATATTAGTCTGCTCAGGCCAGCACCACAAAATACCACAAACTGTGGCTTAAACAACAGAGATTTATTTTCTCACATTCTGGAGGCAGAAAGTCCAAGATCAAGGTGTTGGTAGGATTACTTCTGAGGGCTCTCTCTTGGGCTTCCAGATGGCCTTCTTCTCACGGTCTCCTCACACGATCTTTCCTCTGCAGATAGATGCCCTTGGTGTCTCTCCTTTGTGTCCAAACTTCCTCCTCCTATAAGGACACCAGTCACATTGGATTAGGGCCTGCTCTAACAGCCTTGTTTTAACTTAACAATCTCTTTAAAAGCTCTGTCTCCAGACACACTTACACTCTGAGGTACTGGGGTTTGGGGCTTCAATATATAAACTTTGGGGGCAAACAATTCATCCCATAGTAACAAGCCACATAGTTTGGTGGAAGTGGGCAAAAACTGAAATGGAGCTGACAAGTTGAGCACCTACTATGTGCCGGCCAAGAGTTGCGGGCCTGATTCCCAGTGTGTCATGTAATTCTCATGCACACAGAGAAGCAGTCTGATCATCCTTCATTTTTAGAGATGAGGAGTTCAGAGAGGTAAAGACACTTGCCTGTGCTGAAAGCTGGGCTTTAAATCCAGGTCTGTCTGGCTCCAGGTTTTCTGATCCAAGGTTTTCTCCCGTTTCCAAGCTGAAGAGTGACACTTGAACAGCCAGGAGCTGGAATGAGGCAAGAGGGTACCAGGCAAGCCGTGGTGGCTGCTTCATTTTCATTTCATTTCTGATCCTAACCAACTCTTCTAGTCTTCTCGGGGTGCCTATGAGGTACCAGAGATCCACAGATCTGGAAAGGCTTGAACAACAGGAATTTATTTTCTCCCCATGCTGGAGGCTGAAAGTGCGAGATCACGATGCTAGTGGGTTGGTTCCTTCTCAGGCCTCCCTGCTTGGTTTGTAGATGGCTCTCATCTTTCTGCGTCTTCACATCATCTGCCCTCTGTACACATGTGTGCCCAGATTTCCTCTTCTTGTAAGGATACCAGTCATACTGGATTAAGGCCCACCCCAGTGACCTCATTTTACCTTCCTCACTTATTTAAACACCCTGTCTCCAAATGCATTTACATTCTGAGATATTGCGGTTTAGGACTTCAGTATATGAATTTGGAGTTTTCTGGCACAGTGGCTGGAGTCTGCAATTACACATACTCAGGAGGCTGAGGTGGGAGGATTGTTTGAGGCCAGGAGTTCAAGACCATCCTGGGCAACATAGCAAGATCCCATCTCTAAATTTCTTTTTTTAAATTAGCCAAGGGTGACAGAGCCTGTAGTCCTAGCTACTTGGGAGGCTGAGGTAGGAGGATCACTTGAGCCCAGGAACCGGAGGCTGCAGTGAGATATGATTGTGCCACTGCACTCCAACCTGGGCAAAACAGTGAGACTTTGTCTCAAAAAAAAAATTGAGGAGGGACACAACACCAACCTTGCTCAAAGCACTTAGCGGTGGAAATGGAGTAGAAAGTGGACAGTAACAACCTCACCTGCTCACCTTCCACCAGTCTTGGTCCCCAGGCACCCACAGGACTTAGACTCCCAACAATAACAAAGGACTCAGGTACCTTCTCCTCTGTCCCCGTTACACCTGACAACACCTGTGGCCCACAACTGGCAGATTGCCAAACTTGGAACCTTTCTGTTTTTTCCACAATCACTTTATATTGTTTATTATTACAAAGTTAATGATTCTTGCTGTACAATAAGATATAAATTAGATCAAAGTCTGCCACGTGGAAAGTTCCTCTCAAATCTTCACCTTCACCCTGAGATTGGTCACTGTGAGAGTTTGGTGGATGTGTTTCCGGACTGTCTTCTATGCGTAAAACAATACATCCACCATACCATGGGGTAGTGTGGAAATTCAGAGCTTGGATATGGGAGTCAGTTCTCCTGGCTGGCCCTGAACGGACTCTGCTACTCACGGTCCCATCTTGGGCAAGATAATTTACTCATTTTTTTCACTGTGCCTCTGTTTCCTACCGTACCTTTCAGAATCATCTTTAAAATTAATGAGTGGCGAGATGGATAGTGCTTAGAGCAAGTGAATACCCAACAAATATGGCAACCGTGGAGATACACGGCTTGGATTAAACTTCAAGAAGGAGCTAGCCGCGCAGCTGCGTGGAGTGCAGGCGGCTGACGGCTTCCACCTGCAGCACCTCGGAGGTCTCCCAGAGCTTCTGAGCTGAGGACACACTCAGCCCCCAGGCAGTGAGTGAACATGATGGGGATACTAGGGCCCAGCCACTTCTGCCCAATGCGGATCGTCTCTCAAGGGCATTTTTGGCTCTAAAGCTCCCTGCTGCACTGGCCGGGGCCTCATCAGGAATGCGTTGCTGGGGTCTGAGGCTCTCGCTCCTGCTTCTGCTGCCTCTCCTAATCTCACTCGTGGTCAGATCTGTGCCTTCTCCTGCCCAATACTGTCCTTCCGTTTGTTTGTTTGTTTGTTTTTTATTTATTATTATTTTTTGAGACGGAGTCTCGCTCTGTCGCCCAGGCTGGAGTGCAGTGGCCTGATCTCAGCTCACTGCAAGCTCCGCCTCCTGGGTTCACGCCATTCTCCTGCCTCAGCCTCCCGAGTAGCTGGGACTACAGGTGCCCGCCACCACACTAGCTAATTTTTTGTATTTTTAGAAGACACGGGGTTTCACCGTGTTAGCCAGGATGGTCTCCATCTCCTGACCTCCTGATCTGCCCGCCTTGGCCTCCCAAAGTGCTGGGATTACAGGTGTGAGCCACTGCGCCCCACAATATTTTTTTTAATTTATGTTTTCAGAGACAGGGTCTCCCTCTGTTGCCCAGGCTGGAGTGCCATGGTGCAATCATAGCTCATTGCAGCTTAAACTTGTGGGCTGAAGGGATCATCTTGCCTCAGTCTCTCAAGTAGCTGGTCGTATAGGAAAGCAGCAGCACACCTAGCTAATATTTATTTATTTATTTTATTATTGTTACTATTTTGAGACAGAGTCTCCCTCTGTTGCCCAGGTCAGAGTGCAATGGCTCCATCTCGGCTCATTGCAACTTCTGCCTCTGGGTTCAAGTGATTCTCCTGCCTCAGTATCCCAGGTAGCTCGGATTACAGGTGTGCACCCCCATACCCAGCTAATTTTATTTTATTTTTCTTTAGTAGAGATGGAGTTTCTCCATGTTGGCCAGGCTGGTCTCAAACGCCTGACCTGAGGTGATCCACACACCTCCGTCTTCCAAAGTGCTGGGATTACAAGCGTGAGCCACTGTGCCCGGCCTATTTGTTCACTTTTTGTAGAGATGGGATCTCACTGTGATGGTGAGTTTAGTCTCTAACTCCTGGGCTCAAGCGATCCTCCCACCTTGGGCTGAGAATGTGCTGAGATTACAGGTGTGAGCCACCTCGCTCTACCCCTGCCTTTATCTTTTACAGGTATTACCCCGAATAACTCCCTCCCACACTCCTAACTCTGTCTCTCTCTGCCTCGCAGGGGAACCAAACTGACCCCAAATGCCAGCTAGCTAGAATAAAAATAAAATAAAATGAAATAATAGTGTGACAAATTGCCATCCTTCTTTACATGTGGATTGGCAACTTTCTTTCACCTTTAACCTTTTTTAATCTGTGAGATTACTATGCATAGATTAAACCAGTAAATTTGAAAACATAGATGAAAATAATAATTTTCTAGAAAAATATAAGTGATCAAAATGGATTTGCTTATTTGTTTTACATAGAGGCCCTCCCCACCTTAACGATATGTCAAGGATGTTTTTCATGTCAGATCTTAAATGTGTACTTCTTTCTCTTATTTATTTTGTATTTATTTATTTATTTTCCCAGACAGAATCTCGCTCTGTCACCCAGCCTGGAATGCAGTGGCGTGATTAGGGTTCATTACAGCCTCTACCTCCTGGACTCAAGTGATCCTCCCACCTCAACCTCTCGAGTAGCAGGGACTATAGGCATGAACCACCATGCCTGGCTAATTTACTTTTTATTTTTTGTAGAGATGGAGTCTCATTATGTTGTCTAGGCTTGTTTTTAACTCCGGAGCTCAAGCAATCCACCTGCCTGGGCCTGCCAAAGCGCTGAGATTACTGGCATGAGCCGCCATGCCCGGACTTTGGGTCTTATGTTTGTTACCTTTAAATTCGAAATGAGACTGGTTCCTACCTGCCTACCTGTGGGGCTGCTATGAGAATTCGATGCACAAGGTAAGTGCCTCGCACATGCTGAGGGCTCCAGAAGTGATTCTTTACCTGCTCATCTTCCTTCTTCACTTTCAAAGGGCTAAATGTTTTGGCAGATGACCAAGTTGTATTTGAATATTGATACGGTTTGGCTGTGTCCCTGCCCAAATATCATCGTGAATTGTAGTTCCCATAATCCCCACATGTCACGGGACAGACTGGGTGGGAGGCGATTGAATCATGGGGGTGGTTACCTCCATGCTGTTCTTAAGATAGGAGTTCTCACAAGATCCGATGGTTTTACAAGGGGCTTGCCCCTTTGCTCGATTCTCACTGCTGCCGTGTGAAGAAGGATGTGTTGGCTTCCCTTTCCTCCATAATTGTAAGTTTCCTGAGGCCTCCTCAGTCATGCTAAAGTGAGAGTCAATTCAACCTCTTTCTTTTATAAATTACTCAGTCTCAGGTATGTCTTTCTTAGCAGTGTGAGAACGGACTAATACAGACATCTTTTATCCAATAGACTTTATTATTTTTCAAAATATGTAACCAAAATAAATGCATTCAGATACAAGTTTGAATCATATGAAATTCCCTGTCTTCAACCATTTTGCACCTGTGAAAATGGCAATTTCATATGGTTCAATTTAATAGTTTAAAAAATAATGTAGCACCTAAAAATCTCAAAGTAAAATATAGCCCTCTCCTCCCCTATCTGTCTCCATATGGCCCCTTCTCAGAGGCAGCCACATTAAATACCTTAGCTGATCCACGAGGCAGCCACTTCTACATGTCTAAATGAGATGCTTCCACTCCTATTGCACAGTTTACCAACATTAACTGTTATGTATTTATTTCTGGTTGGGATAGATGTGGATTTAGCTCCCTTTACACCCCACCTCCTCTTTTCTCATTTTCTCATCATTGTTATATTTTTAGTCAAACCATTAATCAGTCTTGACATCACTCTGACTACAGAAAAGGCATGATGAGATTTTAACCAAGGTGAACCTTGCCAGTAAAGCCCTGAATGGGGATTTCTGAGCAGCTGCAGCTGCAAGAATTCTACTCCTCAGCTCTTGGCTTTGCTGCTCCCTGGTCACCTTTTACATCATGTATGCAGACAGTGCCAAGTTCCCCTGAGAAGATGCTGAAGGGCCTGGCCGGCTCGTGGGCCCCTCCCTGTACACACCAGGTGGTTTCTGAGTGGCCCTGCAATATATTGTGCATCTTTTTTTAAAAAAAAAACCGTTATATTGAGATATACTTCATATGCTGTACAATTCATCCATTTGAAGTGTGCAATTCAATTGCTTTTGGTGTGTTCACAGTATTGTGCATCCATCAATATGATCAATTTTAGAACATTTCCACAACCCCTAAAAGAAATCCTACCCCTCATAGCCCTCATTCCTAAATCCCCACTGCTTCGCCCAGCTCCAGGCACCACTAATCTTCTTTCTCTTTCTATAGCTTTGCCTATTCTGGACATTTCTTATAAGTGAAATCTTACACTGGGTCCTCCTGGCTTCTTTCACTTAGCATAATGTTTTCAAGGTTCATAAATACTGTAGTATATATCAGTACTTAATCTCTATTTATTGCCAAATGATATTCCATTGTATGGCTATAGCACATATTATATATCCATTAGTCAGTTGATAGGTATTTGGGTAGTTGCTACTTTTTGGCCGTTATGAATAATGCTGCTATGAACATTCTAGTCCAAGTTTTGGTGTGGACTTGTGTTTCATGTCACTTAGGTAAATACCTAAGAGTGGAATATCTAGGTCATGTGTTTACTCCACTTTTAACCATCAGAGGGACGTTCAGTCTCTTCCAAAGCAGCTGCACCATTTTACATTCCACCAACAACGTACAGTTAGTCTCCATATCATTGAGTTCTGCATCCAAGGATTCAGCCAACTGCATATTGAAACATAAACCAATAAAACCAATAAGAATAACAATACACTAAAAAAAGATAAAAAGGAAAGTATGACAATTGTTTACATAGCGTTTACATTGTATTAGATATTGTAAGTAATCTAGAGATGATTTAACATATACAGGATGAAGTGTGTAAGTTATACGTGAATGTTGTGCCACTTTATATAGGGGACTTGAACATCTACAGATTCCGGTATCCTCAGGGGGTCCTGGAACCCATTCCCTAAGGATAGGGAGGGACAACTGTGTAAGGGTTTCCATTTCCCCACATTTTTGCCAACACTTGTTATTATCTGACTTTTGGACTACAGTCATCGCAGTGGGTGTGAAGCAGTATCTCATTGTGGTTTTGATTTGCATTTCCCTGATGTTAATGATGTTGAGCATCTTTTCCCACACTTATTGGATGCTGTGGCAGGGTTTTTTCTACCATTTTTACTGGAATAGATGTGGCAGATTTTAACATTCGTCTGAATCAGTTCAAACATTTGCAAAGCAATCATGACTGTCTTGATTTGCCTCTGCTAACCCCCCATCTAATGACATGACTTGAAGTGGCAACCCATACTTCCACCCTCGCACCAAGACCACTTTTCTTATCCTCTCCTCTGGGCTAGTCAAGGCATCATGAAATAGAGATTTTCTTTAAAAGAAAGAGATTTTTTTAAAGTTGTTTTATAGTAAAATGAACACAGTTATTTAAAAGACAGGTGTTTGTGTTAGTTTCCTGTTGTTGCTATTTCTGTCTAGCAAATTACCACACACTTAGTGAGTGGCTTCCAATGCCATCCATTTATGAACTCAGAGTTTTGTAGGTTAGAAGTCTGGAACAAAATGACTGAGTTCTGTACTTAGGGTATCATAAGGCTGAAATCAGTGTCAGTTGGGCTATGTTCTTGCCTAGAGGATCTGGGGAAAAGTCTTCTTTCACATTCATTGCTATGGGTGGTGGCATTCAGCTTCTTGTGGCTATAGATCTGAGGTGTTTGTTTCCTTGCTGGCTCTCAGCTGGGGCTGCCGTCAGCTCCTAGAGGATGTCCCCATTCCTTGCCGGATGCCCCCTCCATGCTCAACCCAACATGGTGCCCTGAAACTTTCTTTTTCTTTTGTGAGACAGTGTCTCACTCTGCTACCCAGGCTGCAGTTCTGTGGTGCTATCACAGCTCACTGCAGCCTCAGCCTCCCAAGCTCAAGAGATCCTCCCACCTCAGCCTCCTCAGTATCTGGGACAACTGATGCATGCCACCACATCCAGCTAATTTTTGTACTTTTTGCAGAGGTGGTGTTTCATCATATTGTCTAGGCTGGTCTCAAACTCCTGGGTTCAAGCAATTTGCCTGCCTCCGCCTCCCAAAGTGCCGGGACTTCAGGTACATGCCACTGTGCCCGGTCTGAATCTTTCTTAAGCTCCTAATCCCTGATGTCTTTGTCTCTGACCTCTGGACCCAGATTTAAAGGACTTATGGCATGCCCATTGGCTAAGCTCTCTTTGTTAAGGCAACTGTGCCATGTGACGTGACCTAATCACAGGAGTGAGATCTATAATGTTCAAAGGTCTGGTGACTAAATAGGACGTGTACACCTGGGCAGGGGTGTCTTGGGGAATCATCTTAGAATTCTGTCCAGACATCCACCATATGTATGCATTTTAGAATGACGTTCATAAGAAAATATAATTGAAATTCAGGAGTGGCCTTTGAAAGAGCTAACTTTAGTTATCTGGAAAATGTACTTCTATGGAAGCCTTCACTTCCTGATAACATAAGGCAGAGGAAGTGTCATCATAAATGCGAAGACCCAGCATGGCAGTGAATTGATGGAGTTCATTATGCGGCAAGTATATTGACAGAGCTGTTTCCTTGAGCAAGAAATACCAGCAAAAATGCACAAAAAGTGAACATGTACAACAAAACTGAGGGTTTAATTAAACAAAAATTTTTTTTGACCCCATGGACAGAAGATTTTCCTAAAATATGATGGACTTTTCTGCTTTCATTTACTAAATCTGAATGATGTTTTAGAATTCTGCAGAGCTTCTGGGTGTTTGCCATTGGCCATTTAGGCATCTGTCAAATTCCTAAAGATGCAAAGCATTATGGAATTACGAAACACAGGCATAAACCCTGTCCAGCAGAGGTGCAAGGTTGCCTGGATGCGAATAGACAAATTTATAGAGATAGAAAGAAGATTAGTAGTGGCTAGTTCCTGGGAGGAGAAAGGAACGGAGAGTGGCTGTTAATAAATATGGAATTTTGCAGAAAGAGGATCTAAATTAGACAGTGGTGATAGCTGCACAACATTTTTTTTTTTTTTTGAGACAAAGTCTCACTCTGTTGGCCAGGCTGGAGTGCAGTGACATGATCTCGGCTCACTGCAACCTCTGTCTCCTGGGTTCAAGCAATTCTTGTGCCCCAGCCTCCCGAGAAGTTCTGATTATAGGTGGGTGCCCCCACGCCCTGCTAATTTTTGTTTGTTTTTTAGTAGAGAGGTGTTTCACCATGTTAGCCTGGCTGGTCTCGAACTCCTGGCCCTATAAAACCAACTGCCTTGGCCTCCCATGCTGCTGGGATTACATGGGTGAGCCACCACACCCGTCCTGAATTATAACTTTAAAAGGGTGAATATACTAGTATATAGGTTATATTTTAGTAAAGTTGTTATTAAAAAAGAAAAATTAGCTGCATATAGGAAAAGAATAAACCCAAGAACAGCTTTTAAAAAATAAATTCCTGGCTGGGCGCCGTGGCTCACACCTGTAATCCCAGCATTTCGGAAGGCCGAGGCGGGCGGATCACGAGATCAGGAGATCGAGACCATCCTGGCTAACCCAGTGAAATCCCGTCTCTACTAAAAATACAAAAAAAAAAAAAAAATTAGCCAGGCGTGGTGGTGGGCACCTGTAGTCCCAGCCCCTCAGAAGGCTGAGGCAGGAGAATGGCGTGTACCTGGGAGGCGGAGCTGGCAGTGAGCTGAGATAGCGCCACTGCACTCCAGCCTGGGCGACAGAGAGAGACTGCGTCTCAAAAAAATAATGTAAATTCCACAAAGTAAAGGCAATTTTTAAAAATGCTTTATATCTACCTGTCTAGCCTGTTATCTATCTGTCTAGTGACTAGCAGATTGCTGAGTACACAGGGACTTATTTGATTATAAATATTTATCAATGATCTGGACTAAAATGATAACAAATAAGTTAACCCTTGTTGCCAAATTGCATATGGAAAAATTCATTTGGGGGAAGGAAGGATATCACTGCTATGATTTTAATGGACATCCATTTATTTATTTAGTCACTTATCAAATATTTATTGAGCACCTACTATGTGTCAGGCTCTGGGGATACCATGGTTGACAAGACAGTATGGTATCTGCCTAGCAGGAGGTCACAGGGTAGGTGGTGAAAAATAAGGATATTCTAGAAGCATTCTAGAAGCAAGTATTTCATAATATTTTATGATGCCATCTCATGATGGGAGCTAGAATAACTGGTCCTCTGATGAATTGCAGGCGGATGGGCAAATGAACTTTGTGGTATAAATAAAAATTGTTAAAAGAGTGCATCCCTTTGCTTTAACAAATTTACTTTTGAAAATAAATTACCAGAAAGGCACCTATGCTCAGCACTATACCACCGGCCACTTGGAGACAAGTTATTAGAAAATGGCATAAGGGTACAGAAACTAACAATCTGAGTTCAAAAAATGTTCTTTATAGAAACAAACCAGTGTTGGCCAGGCAAGGTGGCTCATGCCTATAATCCCAGCACTGAGAGTCCGAGAAGGGAAGATTGCCTGAGCTCAGGAGTTCGCGACCAGCCTGGGCAACATGGTAACACCCCATCTCTACTAAAAATACAAAAATTGACAGGGTGTGGCGGCACACACCTTAATCCCAGCTACTCAGGAGGATGAGGCACAAGAACTGCTTGAACCCGGGAAGCAGACGTAGCAGTGAGCCAAGATCACACCAGTGCACTCCAGCCTGGGTGACAGAGCGAGATTCCATCTCAAAAAAAAAAAAAAAAAAAGAAAGAAAAGAAAAACAAACCAGTGTTTGTTAGGGAATTGGTTAAATATGTTTAATAGATTCATGTGATACAGCGCTAAGTAGCTATATTATTTTCTGAGGGCTTCCATAACAAATGACCACAAACTGGATCACTTAAAACAATGAAGATTTCTTCTCTCCCAGTTCTGGAGGCCAGAGTCTGAAATGCAGATGTTGGCATGGCCAAGTTCCTTCTGAAAAGCCTTGAGGCAGGACCAGTTCCATACCTCTCTCACAGCTTTAGGTGGTCACTGGCAATCCTTAGCATTCCTTCACGCTATAGTTTGGTTTGTGTGTCTCCTCCGAATCTCATGTGAAAATCTGATCCCCAGTGTTGGAGGTAGGGCAGAATGGAAGGCTTCTAAAGCAACCCTGATTTCTAAACACCCATGACCATCGGTCATGGGGATGGATCCCCTCATGAATGCCTTGGTGCTGTCCTTGCAGTAATGACTGGGTTCTTGCTCAATCAGTTCCTGCGAGAGGTGGTTGTTCAAAAAAGCCTGGAACCTCCTTCCTCTGTCTCTTTCTTTCTCTCTTGCCATGTGATCTTCACACAATTCAGCTCCCCTTCACCTTCCACCATGAGCGGAAGCTTCCTGAGGCCCTCATTAGAAGCAGGTGTTGGTGCCATGCCTCCTACACAGCCTGCAGAATTGTGAGCCGAATAAACTTGTTTCCTTTATAAATTACCCAGCCTCAGGTGTTCCCTTACAGCAACACAAATGGACGGAGACACTTGGCTTGTAGCTGTAGTGCTCCAACTTCTGCCTCTGTCCTCACGGGGTCTTCTTTCTCCTATGTCTCTGTGCCCAAATTTTCTTCTCATAGGAAACCAGTCACTGGATGTAGGGTCCACTCTAATCCAGGGAGACCCCATCTTAGCATGATTACATCTGCAAAGACTCCATGTGCAAATAAGGTCACATTCACAGGTTCTGGGTGGACATAAATTATTGGGAGACACTATTCAACCCAAAACAGTAACCATCAAAATAATGTTGGAAAAAGTCCACAATTTATTAAGTGAAAAAAAAGCGTACTACATCATAATATAAATTTATTTTTGTAAAAACAATAAAAATTGCTTGTGTGAACAGCATGTTACTTGCTGTGTTCTCCCAATCTCTGATCCTTATCATCCGAGCGCAAGGAAACATTTCATGAGACAATAGAAAACTCAAGGTCTTCTGATAGTCCCGAAAAAGTGACCACATTAAAAACTATAGGCCAACAAGGTGAAAACTCATCTCTACTAAAAATACAAAAAATTAGCTCTGTGCGGTGGCAGGTGCCTGTAATCCCAGCTTCTCTGGAGGCTGAGGCAGGAGAATCACTTGAACCCCAGAAGCAGAGGTTTGCAGTGAGCTGAGATCATGCCATCGCACTCCAGCTTGGGCAACAAGAGCGCAACTCCATTTCAGAAAAAAAAAAGCAACAACAAAAATAACTAGAAGAATTTATTTGATACAAATGAGTTATGTAATTATGAAATAATTGATTCTGATGGGGAAGTCGTGGGTATATTCGGAATTGACAGCTAAGTACAAATTTTGAAATCAAGAAGAGGAAATAAAAGTGACAGAGACATTGATGGAAAACTAAATAAAGATGGAATGAGGAGCTAATGAAGCATCTTTGGATGATGTGAGCAGAAACAGCAGTAAATGACAAGGCCCGGGCATTATCGTAGTGGTTTGGGCATGAGGCCAGCTCTCCATGTCTGTGCTACCTGACATTTGGGAGGAACTTCCCCTCCCTTTGCAATGTCAAGTTCAGCTGGGCCACAAGTACTGGAGCCCTCAGTTGAAGCTGCCAAAGTTCTGTCACTTTGTGCTTTCCCGGTGGCAAAATGGGAGATTCCTGAGCAAATTAAATTTCTCCAGTGGAGGAGGGTAGGAGAAACACAGCATTAGCAAAGGTGCTGAGTTTTAAACCCAAATCTCATTTCTATGATGGCCTTAGCAGGCATGCAGACTTGACTTTTGAAAGACACACACCTGTGCATATGCGTGTACACACACAGACACATGTCATCTTGTGCGATTAGTATGTGCTCAGCCCAGCACTATGGAACCCTCATGGGCCAGACCATGTGGGTTCTAATCCCAGCAGAGCCACCCACTAGGGTTTACCTCTGGGCAAATTACTTAACCTCTCTGTGCTCTAATTTCCTCACTTGTAAAACAGGGTTAAGATTATTACCCTCTCCACAGGGTTTTACAAGGCCTCATTAGCTTCCAGTATTAATGATTTTAAGTTGCTTCATGTATTTAGTTAATTTGGTCTTCACAGCAAATATTCAGCAAGGACAAAACAATTGGAACTTACTGGATGTGGTGGCTCACACCTGTCATTTCAGCACTTTGGGAGGCGGAGGCAACTGAATCACTTGAGTGCAGGAGTTTGAGATCAGCCTGAACAACATAGTGAGACCCTGCCTCTACAAAAACTACAAAATTAGCTGGGTGTGGCGGCACCTGCCCGTAGTCCCAGCTACTCAGGCGACTGAAGTGGGAGTATCTCTTGAGGCTGGTAGGCAGAGGTTGCAGTGATCTGAGATCACATCACTGCACTCTAGCCTGGGTGACAGAGTGAGAACCTGTCTCAAAAACAACAACAATAATTTAGATTTAGAAGAAAGAGTCTTTGGCTGAAAATCTGGAGGTGTTGAGATGAGGCTGAGTCTCCAGCCCTGTTACCCCCTCACTGGGTAGTGAGCACAGGTCACCCTCTATCTCTGGGTGGGAGCTCCTTGTTGCCAAATGCAGGTCTTGGAGTTGACCTGAGGTTTCTTCATGGTGCTCTAAGGTACTCACTTTAAGGAGAAGAAAACAGGGAGGGAGTGAGTCCCAAACAACTTCTAAGGCAATTCTGGTTTTTAAAAAAACTTTCAACTTTGAGAACAGCATTGATTCACATGCAGTTGTATGAAATAATACAGAGAGATCCCATATATACCCTCACTCAGTTTTGCATATCTTGTACAACATCATGACCAAGAAATTGACATTGATGCAATCCACTGACCTTCTTCAGATTTCACCAGTTTTCCATGTGCTCATTTGTATGCATGTGTGTGTTCAGTTCCATGCAACTTTATCACATGTAGATACGTGGGACCATCACAGTGAAGACACAGAACAGTCATTACAAGTATACCTTTGTGCTACCCTAGTAAAGCCACACCTATTTCCCAGGGTCCTCGCCTCCCTAATCCCTGACAATCCCTATTCTGTTCTCCATCTCTAGAATTTTGTCATTTCAGGATTATATAAATAGGATGGATCATGCAGTACATGACCTTTTGAGATTGGTTTTTCCACTCAGTTAAGTTCCCTTGAAATTCCTGCAAATTGTGTTATTCATCAGTGCTTTATTTTTCCTTTTCGTTTTTTTCTTTTCTTTTCTTTTCTTTTTTTGGAGATGGAGTTTCGCTCTTGTAGCACAGGCTAGAGTGCAATGGCACGATCTTGGCTCACTGCAACCTCTGCCTCCCCAGTTCAAGCGATTCTCCTGCCTCAGCCTCCTGAGTAGCTGGGATTACAGGCACCTGCCACCACGCCTGGCTAATTTTGTATTTTTAGTAGAGACAGGGTTTCTCCATGTTGGTCAGGCTGGTCTCGAATTCCCAACCTCAGGTGATCCACCCACCCCAGCCTCCCAAAGTGCTGGGATTACAGGCATGAGCCACCACGCCTGGCCCTATTTTTCCTTTTTATTGCTGAGTAGTATTCCAGCAGCTCTTATTTTAACTGCTACACATATTGGTCTTGCCTGAGAGATTTCATTTAAAGAAAGGCTTCCTCAGCTCCAAAAGAATAGTTTGAGAACCATTGAATATAACAATTAGATTGCAAAATTTTAAGACCCTGGTTATGACATAGATAAATATAATCTCTACATTAAAATTTATATAGCTGTTTCCATTTAACAGTGAAATAGATCCCCTAACCCTCATAGGTATAATTTTATCTAACCTTGGACAGAAACAAGAGAGAACAGGATTGAGACAGAGAATTTATTCCTGGCGGAGAATTTAAGAGTTCCCAGTCTTTTAAACTTAGGAGAAAAAACATCTTTGGTTATCTCTGTTAGTATAACTTCTCTTTGCTTTTCCTTCTCTTTTCATTCCATTGCCTGGTGGTATTTTCCCTCAATTCCCTAAATGCTATTCCAAAAAAAAAAAAGTGACTTTAAAAAAACCTTTGTTAAAAAAAAGTGTTTTTTTTTTTTTGAGACAGTCTGACTCTTTCACCCGGGCAGGAGTGCAGCGGCGCAATCATGGCTCACTACACCCTCGACCCCCGGGTGCCAGTGATCCTCCCACCCCAGCTTCCTGAGTAGCTGGGACTACAGGCGGGTACCACCATGCCTGGTTAATTTTTGTATTTTTCTGTAGAGGCAGGGTTTTGACATATTGCTCAGGCTGATTTCAAACTCCTGGGCTCAAGCCTTCCTCCCACTTCAGCCTTCTAAAATTCTGGGATTACAGGTGTGAGCCACTGCACCTGGCCTAAAAAAGGTGAAATTTAAAAGCCAGTAGAATCTAGGGTGGCACTCAAGCCTGTGTATTTGGAGGAGCAACTTGAGTGGCATCGTTGACTAAGGCGAACCATGTTCAGGTTTCAGAGACACGAGTGAGGACAATCTGAACAGCCTGCATCTGTTCACATTACAGCGCCCTTCCTGCAACCATGCCTGAAAGGGTCCCAAGTCCTTCTTTATGCATCATTTCCATCTATCATATCATATCATTTAAGACACTCTGCCGTGATGTCTAGGTCCTCTTTGTTCAAGGGGCCACCCGGAGGGAAAGATCTGGGACGTGGCCAACATTTGATGATGTGAGGGTGAATGAAGATAATGGGATTAGCCAGGCTTGGTGGTACACACCTGTAGTCCCAGCTACTCAGGAGGCTGAGGCAAGAGAATTGCTTGAACCCGGGAGGCAGAGGTTGCAGTGAGCTGACGTGACGCCACTACACTTCAGCCTGGGTCACAGAGTGAGACGCCATCTCAAAAAAAAGGTCGGAGGGCGGGATTTAATGAACCTGAGTTTATGTCTAGGGGACCATCAGAAGAAAAAAACCGATGCGTGTAAACAAAGGTATAGGCATAAAGGTGTAGAAGAATACGATAAGAGGTTGAGTGCAGGCCGAGGTGGGAGGACTACTTGTGGGCAGGAGTTTGAGACCAGCCTGGGCAACATAGTGTGATTCCCATCTCTGTTTTTTTTAATTATTAAAAAAGAGTAGGATAAAAGTACTTTTATTTGTCCAGAAAAATAATATAAATACAACCGGGTATGAACTTAGTTTCTCTCCACTTTCCCCAAGAGGTGAACGGAGATTTTCAATCTCTCTGGAGTATGAAAGTGCTATCAAAATCCCATAAAATCAGTGATGTTCATCATAAAACATGCCATCTGTATTAGTTATTGATTGCTGCACAAAACATTACCCCAAAACTTAGCGGCTCAAAATAACACACATTTATTACCACGCTGTTCCTGTGGGTCAGGCATTTGGACACAGCTTCACTGGGTCCTTTTCTCTGGGATATTTTCCTGGAGGCACTCAGGCTGCTGGCCAGAGCCTGAGTTTCATTTGCAGGCTCAGCTAGGAAAGGACCCACTTCCCAACTCGCCACATGGCTGTTGGCAGGCAGGATTTGGATTCTCACTGACTGTTGGCCAGAGGCCACCCTCATTTTCTTCCTTCTTTTTTTTTTTTTTTTTTTTTTTTTTTTTTTTTTTTTTTTGAGACAGGTTTCACCGTTGCCCAGACTAGAGCGCAGTGACAAATTCGTGGCTCAACTGCAGCCTCGAACTCCTGGGCTCAAGCAATCCTCCTGCCTCAGGCTTCCAAGTAGCTGGGATTATAGGCACGCACCACCATGCCCAGCTAATTTTTTATTTTTATTTTTTGTAGAGACGGGGTCTCACTATCTTATCCAGGCTGGTCTTGAACTCCTGAGCTCAAGCAATTCTCCCGCCTCAGCCTCCCAAAGTGCTGAGATTACAGGTGTGAGCCACTGCACCTGGCCTCCACCCTCTTTTTTTTGTCATGTGGGCTTCTCCAACACAGATTCTTGCTTCATCAAATCGTGCCAGCTCAGAAGGCAATAGAGAGATTCTGCTAGCAAGACAGATGTCACAGTCCCTTATAACCTAGATATTGAAGAGACACCCCATAACTTGTGCCATCTTCTATCATTTTGAAACAGGTAATAAGTGCAGCCTATATTCAAGAGGTGGGGGGTTAAACAAAGGTGTGAATACCAGCAGGAAGGGATCACTGGGGGCCCTTTGAAAGGCAGGCCACCTTCATACCACCCTTGTGTTTGTTTATAAAAGAGAAAAATGACAACTCTTTCACCATGATAGAAAATAAAATCGTGGGCAAACTAAGAGACCTTAGTTTAATCGCCCAACCGATGGTATGCCAGTCTTGCCATCTCATGAACCATCTCGTCCAGCCCTGGGGCCTGTTTGTGCAAGCTACCTCTTGCACTGACTTCCTTCATTGGGTAAACATCTTTAACTTTCTTTCAGTCCTTCAGAATTTTGAATATGATCAACTAAATTTTATTTCTTTCTCGTTACGATCGTCTGAAATCATGTCAAAACAAAAACATCTCATTTTCCCACCCACTGGGAAACTATTCAAAAGCATGGGCTTTTGAATAGTTCTGATAATCTTTGTCCAATTGTACACCTCCCTCTGCCTATTTCCTTTTCTCCTGATTCAGAATTTGGAGAAGTAATAAACACAGAAGAAGAAAATCAGCCTCACTCACATTTGTGGACGTGCAAATTCTAGCCACAAAAAGTCTGCGATTCATATACAAAACTGGCAAAGAGGAAGCATGTGGGTTACACTTATTGTTGTTAAGGATGTGAGGAATGCAAAACTGGAGAGCAATTTGGCAGATCTGATAAATGCAAAAGACTCACAGTTTATGACACTCATAGCAATTTCCAGGAATTTCTCTTACAGCAATTCTCATAGAAATGTGCAAAGATGCAATTATTAGGATGTTCACTACATCATTGTTTATGTACTACAAAGTATGGGAGAAGCTGAACAGGAGTCACTATTGTCCCATGGGTAGGAGAAAGAATGATACCCTATTGAACTCTATTTAAAGTGATGACAATGGACAAATGACACACATCTGCCCCTTCCCTCCCCTCTATTACACTCCCTGGATATTTTCACTGTCTTAAGCCTAAGGGTAGCATGCCAATTCTTCAAACTGCAACTTGTTTTACTTTTAGGGGATTTGAATGCAATTTCTCCTTTTTAAAAACTGGTTTTTTAAAATTTATTTTTGAGACAGGGTCTTGCTGTGTCCCCCAGGCTGGAGTGCAGTGGCACAGTCATGGTTCACTGCAGCCTCAACCTGCTGTGCTCAATCAGTCCTCCCAGATCAGCCTCCCAAGTAGCTGGGAGTACAGATGCTCATTACCATGCCTAGATAATTTTTAAATTTTTTGTTAAGATGGGGTCTCACTCTATTGCCCAGGCTGATCTCCAAAATATTGCATGATCTCATTTATAGGTGGAATCTAAATAAGTCAAATACATAGAAACAGAGAATGGAACAGTGGTTACCAGCTCAAGCTCCTCCCACCTTCACCTCCCAAAGTGCTGGGATTACGGGCGTGAGCAACTGTGCTTGACCTGGATACAATTTCTTCATATGCATTCATTCATTCATTCAGAGTGGATCCAGTTGTATCCCCAGGAACGTTTCTGAGCCATAGGGTGTCTCAGCTTGAATTTTTTTATCCAGAAGCAGACCCAATAAAAGGTTGTGAGTGAAAGTAATTTGGAAGGTGGATGACAAAATGAGACAGGGCAAGATAACAACCAATACGGTGTTTGAAAGCATGTTGCTAGTGTGGGCAGCTGGCATTTGGTCCCACTGCAGACCTCGGAAAGACTGCATAAAACATTTCTCAGAAAAATGTCTCAGAGTCAGCCCAGGTGAGAGGCAAGAAAAGCTGAAATATTTATTCACTAGCTTCCATCTCTCACGAATCAAAGAGTACTCCCAGGGGATGACTCTCTGACCTACCAGCCTGTCCAGTATGTGAACCTGGCACTCCTGCAGGCAAAGAAATCCCCCAGGGCAGAGTCACAATGTTTGCAGTAAGAAGCCACTGGCATGTATGGAAATAGTGAATGTTAAGGGAATCTAGGTGGGGCCCACAAACTGTCTGCCACAGAAAAGTAGGACAAGGGATTAGACAGACATGGCCCTTACCCTCATGGGTTTACATTTTCCTGGGGCACCGATAATAAGCAAACAAAATAAAATAAATGGTGCATTGAAGAAAATATAAGTGTTACATAACAGAGAATGAAGGAGGCAGAGGCTCCTACTCCAAATAGAGAAATTCTGGAAAAACATGTAACCAAAAGTGTTTAACATACAGCAAATCTCAAATGTAAGAAGGGGAACTCTTCGGGTGGCAAAAATATAAGAGGGTTTGCAAGTGATAACAGGAAATGGGAGTTAAAATCAATGGGCACATTGGGAACTCTTGTACCCTATTGGTGGGAAGGTACATTAGTACAGCCTTTACAGAAAACAATATAGGGGTTCCTCAAAAAATTAAAACTTGAACTACAATATGACCCAGCAATCCCTCTGCTGGGTATATACCCAAAGGAAATGAAATTAGTACCCTGAAGAGATATCTGCAGTCCCATATTCACTGTAGCATTATCCACAATAACCAAGACATGAAGACAACCTAAGTGGATGACTGGATAAAGAAAATGTTATACACATACACACACACACACACACACACATACACCCACACACACACAAACACACGCACACACACCATGGAATATGATGGAGCCTTAAAGAAGGTGACTTTGCCATTTGCAACAATATGGATGATTGTGTAGGATATTATACTGAGTTAAATAAGCCAGACCCAGAAGAAAAAAATATTGCATGATCTCATTTATATGTGGAATCTAAATAAGTCAAATACATAGAAACAGAGAATGGAACAGTGGTTACCAGGAGTTGAGGGCTGGGAAAAAATGGGGAGATGTTGATCAAAGGGCACAAACTTGCAGTTACAAGATGAATAAATTTTGCAGACCTAATGTACAACATGGTGACTATAGTTAATAATATATTGCATACCTAAAATTTGCTAAGAGTAGATTTTAGGGGTTCTTACCACACACATACAAAGGTTAAGTATATGAGGAGATGGAAATGTTAATTTGCTTGACTGTACTAATCATTTCACTATGTATATCAAAACATCATGTTGGACACCTTAAATTTATGCATTTTTCATTTTAAAAATAAAGCAAATTGAGTGAAGATATAAGTAAAGGAAGGAAGGAAGGGAGGGAAAGAGGAAAGGAAGGAGAGAAGGGAAAGGAAGGGAAGGGAAGAGAAAGACAGTAATCAATTGGAATAAAGGGGCTGGGCTTAATGCCCAATAAGGAATGAGAGTCAAGGTCAAGGTCATGGACACTGACAACAGGAAGCTGGAAGTGAGCTCTCTAAATAAATCTAGGAGTCAGGAAGGGGCCATGCTGTCCATGACTGTGTATCAGAAAGACTAAACCCAATGGCCAGAGTACACAACCCATACCAGGATGTTTCTCTTAAGCTGTGGTATGAAACAGAATTCATTGTGAAAAATTAGAATCTCAAGCCTTTGACATGTGTGTAATGTTGGAACTTGCACAACCTGCTCAGGTGGAAACACTCAACCAAGAAGCCAACAACAACAACAACAATACAGCTGTGTGGAGCCTGAGAAGAATTCACACCCAAAGAATTAGAGCTAAGACAGGAATTTGAATCTGGAAATGACTTTAAAATAAATATGTTTAAAATGCCTAAAGAATAAGGAAATGAATCAAATGCATGAAAAGAAGATAGCCCCTTGAAAAACAAACATAATAGATAGATCTGAGGATGAACCCAGGGAAAAATCTTACAAATGGATGTAAATGTGGATGTGGTCAGCAGATAGATGGCATTTGAAGCCATAAGACTGAATGACAACTCCAAGGGAGTGAGTGTAGACAGAGTGTAGACAGAGACAGAGTGAGGGTAGGCAGAGAAGATGACCGAGGGCAGAGTGGGGGATCCACCATAAAGAGGGAGGGGATTGGAGGAAGAATCAGTGAAGGAGGCTGAGAAGGAGCACACAGTGAGGTAGAAAGGGAACCACAAAGTGTGTTTGGTATCTGCTAAGCCAAGTGATAAGAATTTTCCATAGAAGAGAAAGTGATAATGTGTTATAACTACCGCTGCTGATTCAGTAAGAGGTTGGGAAATAGAACATTGGACTTAGCAATGTGGGAAAAAAATGGTAACCTTGACAAAAGAAGTTTGGTCAAGTGGTCAGGGCAAAGGTGGGTCTAAGAAAGAATGGAAGGAGAAGAATTAGATAAAGTGGGTACAGATGATATTTCAAGGTGTTTCATTTCAAAATTAAGTAAAGAAATAGGAATGTAGATGGTGAGGGATGTGAGGTCAAAGGAAGGCTTTTTTTTTTTCTAAAATTGAAGACTTAGTGGGAAGTTTGCATACTCATGGAAATGACCCAATTGGGAGGGAAAAATGATGCCATGGGAGGGAAGAGGCAGAACTGTTGGACTGCTGTTCTTCAATAGTTGAGAAGGAATGGTGTCTACGTACCCAAGTGAGCATGCACTTAGGAGTCAAAACTGAGACGTTTCTCTGTAAAATCAGGAGAGAGCAAAGAGTAGGTAGATAGACCCTATGTGGGAGTCCAGAGAAGTTCTCCTCTGACTGCTTCTATTTTCCCAAAACAGTAAAAAGCAAGATTGTCAATTGGGAGTGAAGGAGGAGAAGGAGGCATCAGGGGTTTCAGGTGTAAAGATGAGATGCACAATAGTCTTCTAGGACTGAGAACATCAATGTCATAGGGGAATAGAAAATTATTGCTTGGCAGCTTTAAGGGGTTTGTAGTTATGATTATTGCAGTTGTATGCTTTTCCCCTCAGCTACATTCAACTGCATGGGTATGAGGCAAAAAAAAAAAAAAAAAAGGTAGAGTTGAATAAACAAGTTTTTGATTTTGCCAAGTGACTTCTATGAAGTGAATGAAGGAAGGAAGTTGTCATTATAACGATTAATCATGAAAATTAAGGTGAGTAAGGAGGAGAGAGAAACATCAGGGAATACAGAAAAGGCAATGAAAAAACCTTGAAATGTATAAAAGAGGAAAGCAGTAAAATAATGAGATGGCGGCATTAATTTATAAACAATGGATACAGAAAGCCTCTGTGAGGAGACATTTCAAAAAAGATCTGAAGTTTAAGAATGAACTATCCAGGCAAAGAGACAGGGAAACAGGGGGCTTGAGTATTCTAGGAAATGTAAAAAGTCTACAAAGACAGGGAGGTTGGCTTGAGAAGGCTTGGAAAAGTAGGCAGAGGCTAGGTCATGCAGAGTTCTATTGACCAAGGTAGAGAGTTGGGATTTCATTCTGAGTGCTATGGGAATTAACTGAAGAGTTTTAAAAAGGGGTGTAACAAGGTCTATGTTTTTAAAAGTTCATTCAGCACTTACAAAATAATACTGGTAGACATTTGATAAGTATGGTGGAGTAATTTAAAAAATACAGATAGTTAAACAAATGGAAAAAAAGAGGCAATTGTCAACTCCAGGAAAAAATGGAAAGCTAACCAAGTCAGTAAGATGATTAGAAGGTATTATTTAGCTCAGCTTTTAAGAAAATTAGTACAGTCATAACAATGTAGACACTGAATATTTAACCAAAAATTTACAGGACAGGGAGAAAATAAAGAGGAGAGGTAGTTATAAGGGAGCTAAATCCTTATCTACCATAAGAGGAGTTAACAGACTAAAATTGATAAAGAAAAATGACAGTATGTGTATATTATTTAGTTTTATGCAGATAAACCCTAGAAGAAATTAGTCACCTATGGGTAGTGGGATTGAACTAAGGATGGAGAGGAACAGAATTGACCAATTTTACATAAAAAGTTTTTAGTACTTTTTGAGTTTTAAAATATCACGCACATTGTTCACACTGTCACTGTGTGAGATTTTCTCAATTAATATTTTTAAGGGGTGGATACGTGATTTTCTGGATGGTTCGATTTACTCTTTTGTCTTGTTTTGATAAGAAAGTGGCTACCTGCAAGCACTAAGGGGCTTTCATCGGCTTTTCGAATTTTTGCTTGTGAGCAAATAACAGAAGAACAGAAACACTCTCCTGGTTGCCTTTCAGAGACAGAATTCTCTTTAATTTGCAGAACCATTTATAAATTCTCACTATTAACTCAAAAAAATTCACGCACATGCCTTTTTTGATTAAAATAAAAATTTCTGAAAAGTAACATTCTGGCTGCTGTGTGGAGCGTGCAGTTAGAAGGTATGGAGGAAGGCAATTAGGTTCCTACTGTCTTCCTCCAGGCTAAGGGTGATGGTGGTGTGATAGGTACTGTGGTAGTGTAACAAAGATGGACAAAAGTAAAGACATTTAAGATATTTGAAAGTAGAGCTTATGTGATTTGAATTGATTCAGTCATTGTTTTCCGTACCAGTCTGGGCTCAATGATTTATTTTCTCGTCTTTATTGGAGGTTATTCATAGTACCCACACATCCAAAGGAACAACCCCGACAGAAGCTGAATCTGTGTTGGTTTTACTGTTTCGCTTTCAAGCTTAATGGTTGGATGTTTCTACCACTGTGTAATATTGGGGTGGGATTGAAGTTGAGAGGTTCTGATTCCTCTCCTATGACGTGGTGGGATGGTTTGGCTGTGTCCCTACCCAAATCTCATCTTGTATTGCAGTTCCCATAATCCCCACATGTCTTGGGAGGAACCCGGTGAAAGGTAATTGAATCATGGAGGCGGTTACCTCCGTGCTGTTCTCGTGATGGTGAGTGAGTTCTGACAAGATCTGATGGTTTTATAAGGGACTTTTCCCCAACTTCGCTCTGAACTTCTTGCTGCTGCCATATGAAGAAAGATGTGTTTGCTTCCCCTTCCACCATGATTGTAAGTTTCCTGAGGCCTCCCCAGCCCAGTGGAACTGTGAATTAATTAAACCTCTTTCTCTTATAAATTACCCAGTCTTGGATATGTCTTTATTAGCAGCGTGAGAACAGACTAATAAAAGTGGGCTCTTGATAATTCATCAGAGGGTTAACTGCTTTACGAATTAATTATTGGAATTCATATGAGCAAGAAGCAGCCTCTGTTGCATAAAACCACTGAATTGGTGGCTTTATGTTTACATGTGATATGGATTCCTAGCTCTATGTAACCAGAACTATTCACATTTTGCTTTGGACAATTCTTTGTTGGGGGAACTGCCGTGTGTATTTTAAGATGTTGAGCAGCATCCCTGGCCACTACCCACTAGACCCCAGAACCACTTCTGTTTCCCTTCAGTTGTGACAACCAAAAATATCTCTAGATATTGCTGAATGTACCATGGGGAGCAAAATCACTCTTGTTTGAGACCTATTACTCTACAGCATTTATCGCAATGGAAATTATATACATAGATGTTATAATGTAATATAATATAATATAACATAACAATGTAATACACACACACACATATATATGATTTTTTTGTTTAATGTCCATTTCTCTTACCAGAATATAAACTCTCTGATAGTCAGAATTAATTTCTTTTCTGAAGGGCAAGGTAGGGGGAATCACCAGTAAATGATTCAGTATTGCTAAGCTTAACCTCAACTAGAATCCTCTAATGTCTTTTTTCTCTCTCATGTACCCTGTGACATTCTTCCCATCCAGTCTTTATTCAGTTAGTTTGTAGGATGAAACAGTACTTGATATTCCGTCTCATCATTTTATCTCATCAATGTCCACCCAGTCCAGATCATTCTCTATCTTGTCTACCATCTTCACACATTTTTTTCTAAAACATACCACAAACTGCCAGCTATGGTTATTTTAGGGAGTGGAATGGGGAAGACAGGAGATTTTAAGACAGTCATGATTTCCTCTACATGATATACTTCCATATGTGTTTAACTTTTTCCATTAAGTACATAACAATTTTTAATCAGGAAATAATCATATGTTTTTAAAATAAAAATAACCCCATTTTGATATAGATCTAAACCCTTAATGAGGAATGTTAAATGAATAAACCATGGAGCTAGGAAAGTAAAACATTTTTATAAGCAGCTTACACTTTAGGCAAATGTTGACAGCACCATTTGTGTGCGCATGTGCACGAGCATGAATGTTTATTACTTATGAGGTTCTAACCTCCATCTTGGGCTTTCCATCCAAGCCATTCCCGCCAAGTGTCCATTCAGCTTCCCAGACAGACTAAACAAGATGTGTAAAGAATGATCAGTAGCAATTTCAGACTATGCAGGCAAAAGCTGGAATGAAATAAAATGAAATGTTTCACTTTAAGGAATTTTTTAAAAAAACTTTTATTTTGGCTGGGCGCGGTGGCTCACGCCTGTAATCCCAGCACTTTGGGAGACCAAGGCAGGCAGATCACGAGGTCAGGAGTTAGAGATCAGCCTGGCCAACATAGTGAAACCCCGTCTCTACTAAAAATACAAAAAATTAGCCAGTCATGGTGGCGGGCGCCTGTAATCCCAGCTACTCAGGACGCCGAGGCAGGAGAATGGCTTGAACCTGGGAGGCAGAGGTTGCAGTGAGCCGCGATCGTGCCATTGCACTCCAGCCTGGGCAACAGAGCGAGACTGTCCCTCAAAAAAAAAAATATTTTAACTTCAGAGAGTACAAGTGCAGGTTTGTTATATAGGTAAACATGTGTCATGGGGATTCATAGTACAGATTATTTCATCACTCAGGTATTAAGCATAGTACTCATTGGTTATTTTTCCTCTCCCTTCTCCACCCTCCACCCTCCAAAAGGCCCCAGTGTATATTGTTCCTCTCTAAGTGCCCATGTGTTCTCATCATTTAGCTCCCACTTATAAGTGAGAACATGTGGTATTTGGCTCTCTGCTCCTGTGTTAGTTTGCTAAGGAGAATGGCCTCCACCTTCTTCATCCATGTCCCTGCCAAAGACAGGATCTCATTCTTCTTTATGGCTGCATAGTATTCCTTGGTATATATGTACCACATTTTCTTTATCTAGTCTACCATTGATGGGCATTTAGGTTGATTTCATGTCTTTGCTATTGTGAATAGTGCTGCAATGAACATAAGGGTGCATGTGTCTTTATAATTTCTGAAACAAACTACTGTAGCAATTTGTTAGCTGAAATAGGTATCTATGTGCCTAGAAGCTGAGAGATATAAATTGTCATCATCATCATCTTTGTTTGACGACTCACCACATAACAGACACTGTGCTAAGTGGCTTCAATTTCCATCTCCCACTCTTTTTTTTTTAAACAGAGTCTCACTCTGTCGCCCAGCCTGGAGTGCAGTGGTGCAATCTTGGCTCACTGCAACCTCCACCTCCCGGGTTCAAGCGAGTTTCCTGCCTCAGCCTCCTCAGTAGCTGGGATTACAAGCATGTGCCACCATGCCCGGCTAATTTTGGTATTTTTAGTAGAGATGGGGTTTCACCATGTTAGGCAGGCTGGTCTTGAACTCCTGACCTCAGGTGATCACCTGCCTCAGCCTCCCAAAGTGCTGGGATTACAGATGTGAGCTATCGTGCCTGGCCCATCCCCCACTCTTTAAATACTGGTAACACCTTTAAAGGTAGGTACCAGTATCCTCCCATTTTTCAGATTCAGAGAGGTTGAGTAATTGCCTAAGGCCATACAGCAAAAAGTTGACATTCAAAGTCAAGTCTGGGACTTGGGGAATATCATTAAAGGTTTTGCTCTACTACTCTACTCCCTTGGTGTTGTAAGGGTGGGCTTGGAAATCTGATAGACCTGTATTCCCATTACTGTGTGAGCTTGTGCAAGTTACTCAACCTCTCTGAGCCTTATATTTTCACCTGTATAATGGGAATCAAAACGTCCACTCGAAATAATGCATTCAAATCTACCTTGATAATTGCCTCACTGGGTTCAGTAAAAGAATTAAATGAGGTGATATATGCAATTTGCCAAGCACAGTGCCTGATGCATAGTAAACACTTAATGAATAATTCTTGTGATAATAATGATAGCAACATGATTACTACTATTAATAATAATTACTATGTTTTGGGCAGTTACTATCTATTAGACATATTGTAAGTGCTTTACTTCCATTAACTCAATCTTCACAATAACTCTGAGAGGTGAGTGTTATTAATATCTCCATTCAACAAGTAAGGGTAAAGGTTCAGAGAAGTTAAGACACTTTCTCAAGATCATACTGCCAGGAAGAGGCTGCAGTGATATAAAGTGCTTGGCTCAATGTCTGGCACACAGGTGCTCTACTGATGACCTCTTCCCTCCCCTTTAATGATGAAAGCTTGGAGGTGACCTTGGGGTTTACTGGGGAATGAGAAAGCAGAGAGAACTGCAAGAACGATGGGTGAGTTAGACCTTACATAGTTTGCTGTGAAGCAACAGTGTTTTCTTCGGCCAGTAAAATGTTGCTACCAGCAGATGAGTTCTTGTTTTCTTGGTTTTTGTTTGTTTGTTTGTTTTTGAGTTGTATTTTTGCTTTTGTTGCCCAGGCTGGAGTGCAATGGCGTGATCTCGGCTCACTGCAACCTCTGCCCCCCGGCTATCAGTGGATGAGTTCTAAGGGAAACAGGTGACAATACTTGGTTACTGCAGAATTTCCAGACACCTTGCAGTATAGAATAAGGAACATGAATCCATAGATCAGTTTCGTCTGGGGCACTGAAAGTTCTTTAAAACACAGCTAATATGGTCTCAGGTTTCCTGGGTATGCTGTATTGATTGAGCAGGTGCACAGTGCTGGCACCTGCAGCTCTCAATCCCAGAGTCACTTCCTTCTCTGCTGGACAGGCTCTGCCAAGGCAGAGTTGGGGAAGATTTTAGATCCCCAACCTCCAAGAAATTAAAGAGTAGAGCTGCAGTATCTATATGTGTAGCTTCAAGCAATTAGAATTGTGAGGATTTATCCAATGCTATTGCAGGGTAAGTGAGCAAGACTCCTACTCTTTGAATCATCTTTTAAAATTATTGTTTATTTTAAATCTACACTGAGTAAAATTCAATTGTTTTGGTAGATAGGTCTATGTGTTTTTGACAAATGATTGCTATACTCAAGATACTGAGCAGTTCTACCATCCTCCACATTTTCCTAGGGCTGCATCTTTACTGTCAGCCCTTCTCCAACCATCAGGCTCTTCAACTACTAATCTGTTTCCATTCCTATAGAATGTCATATAAATGGAGCCATAGAGTATGTAACCTCTGAGTCTGGCTTCATTTATTAAGCAAAATACTCTTGAGATTCATTCATGTTGTTGTGTCAAAGCTTTTTTTTTGTGACAGCAGAACACTGTGCAACATCAATCAGAAAATAAAAATGTGTACATATGTGTACAATGTGTACATACGTAAAATTGTCTTCCAGAGTTCCTTATTTTTTGCAACAAGCAAACTTTTTTGCTTTTAAAATTAAAAAGATTTCCATTTCTAAAAGGAAACAGATTCATGAGTCACTCTTCTGACCAATGTAATCCATATAAATATATTTATTCATGTATTTTTATATTTTTATACAGTAAATATCCATGTCCACTTTTGCGGAAAATACACAAATTACAGACTGTAATGACAAATACATTACCCAAGATTTTTCATCACCAAGGATCATGTTAACATTTTGTGAAATATCCTAATGCACATTTAAATATTATATCCTTTCATAATTAAAAATGGATCACATGAGAAATTTCCTCACTCAACAATATCTAGTAAAAATATTTGTATTTCTTGGCTGGGTGCAGTGGCTTATGCCTGTAATCCCAGCACTTTGGAAGGCTGAGGTGGGTGGATTACTTGAGGTCAGGCTTTCAAGACCAGCCTGGCCAACATGGTGAAACCTCTTCTCTACTAAAAATACAAAAATTAGCCAGGTGTGGTGGCACCTGCCTGTAGTCCCATCTACTTGGAAGGCTGAGGCAGGAGAATGAGAATCGCTTGAGCCTGGGAAGCAGAGGTTGCAGTGAGCTGAGATCATGCCACTGCACTCCAGCCAGGGTGACAGAGTGAGATTCTGTCTCGAAAAAGAAAAAAAGTGTATTTCCATATAACTCTGCTGTAAGGCATTTACTGGAAGTGAAATCCCTGGGTGTGCTATTAGAAATTATTTTTATAAGTAAGGTTAAAATGAACAGATTTGTGTATAGATCTTGGCGTACTTGACTGATAACTTCCCTAAGACCAACTTCCAGAAGGAAATTCCTGATCAATCCACATGCATTTTTATGAGACATTAAATTCACTTTGCCAAACTGCTCTCCAGAAATGATGTATCAATTCATCCTACCAGGAATTCTATGAAAGGATGAATTGGGAGAATGGTATGAGAATGCCTGTTTCTCCACATCTTTGCTAACATTGGGTTTTATATTTTTTTCACAGAAAGTTTTAAAATTCCTCTTGACGGAGTGAAGCCCCTGGAAGTGAGGGTCTATGTGAGGGTATCTAGAAGTACTCCTTGCTTTAACTCTTTTCTTTTGGCCCAGCCCTTGGTATTCTTTCTGGGGAGAGGATGGAAAGGAATTTTGTACAAATACCTGGAATGGGGATCATCAGGCTTAAATATGGTTAGGATTAAGTGGGGAGGGGGTTCAAGAGGCACATGGAAAAACAAGCCCTTGATCTTGCTCTTTGGGAGGCGTCACTGGCACACACTTGGAATATAGGACTTCCGGAAATGCCCGTGAGTTCTAACTGTGCTCAGCATAGTCTTCTCTTCTGAGAGATGCTGAAGGACCCTCCGAGGGCATATAGGAAAGATCAAGAAGGCAGGGACTCTGCTTCCTCAGAGTATCCTCTATCTCTGTTTCGTAAATAGGGCATCACAAATATTTTATTTATGAGGACATCAGCTGCATTGTTAATTTAAACAACACTGTCTTAGACCAACCACCTATTTTACCCACTACAAAATCAAAGCCCAGAGAGGGAAGCCAACTTGTCCAAAGTGACACAGCCCATCCCTTGCAGAGCTGACTTCCGCCTGACTCTCAGGTCAAGGCTTTCTCCTTGCTACAGTGACAAGTGCAGTGACATTACAAGTTAAGTCATCCACATGCGGCCCTGGCAACATCTGCTAAAATTAAAAAGACAGAAAATACACTTTGCTTTTATCCACCCAGAAATATCACTCTGGGAATGTAACCTGAAGAAATAAAAACATCAGAATATGTACAAGGATGCTAAAAAGATGAAACAGGGCATTATCAAATAACTTAAAACATTAACACGTGTTTTAAGGAAGAAAAGTAAGATGCAAAAAAAAAGCATACATATTATGATCCAACTTTTTTTTTGTAAATAGTAGCAACCTTGCCCATGGCTGTTATGCATGTATATGTGTATATGTATAACTACACAGATATGCAAATATATATATAGGGCTATAAAATATGGAGAAAAATAGAGAGGTATACATACTAGATGAAAGGCAGGGAGGAGAAAAGGAGGAAGAATAAGTAAAAAAGGAAAAGAAAACAAAAGACTGCACACACATGCCAGGCATGTAGGTGATCCCACCACGGATTCATATAAAATTGTGTATATGGTAAGTGTATACTTTCGGAAACTGCATATTTAAAACATGTTTTAAAACAGTCATTCAAGTCTGTGGGTCTAAAGAAGATTATAAAAGCTTTTATACCTTTAGAAGTGCTTTAACACATTGCTTCATTTAATCCTATAAATTCAGCGTGGGATAGACGTTTCTGCATTTTACAGACCCAGCGAGGCTGAGTGACTTAGCCAAGCTCCTGAAACCAGTCAGCCGCAGGGCTGGGGTGGTCTCCACCTGTTTGACTCTGAACCTTGTGTTCTTTCCATTCCCTGGTGGAGGAAGGGTAACACCCTAGGGTGAGAGGTTTGGGAAGGACAAAGAGAAGCCACGTAGCTTATAAAATCAGTTTCCTTCACACAGCTGGGAGCAGCCTTGGCATGTGGCCTCTTTTTCTTTCTTTTCTTTTTTTTAAATTTTATATTGGCAACAATTATATATATTTGTTGGGTACAGTGTGATTATTTTGATATTTGTATATATGGTGGAATGGTTAATTGAGATAATTAACTTATCCATCATCTCGAATGCTTACCATTTTTTTGTGGTGAGAACATCTGAATTTTACTTTCTTAGCATTTTTTTTTTTTTTTTTGAGAAGGAGTCTCGCTCTGTTGGCCCGGCTAGAGTGCAGTGGTGCGGTCTCGGCTCACTGCCAGCTCTGCCTCCCGGGTTCATGCCATTCTCCTACCTCAGCCTCCCAAGTAGCTGGGACTACAGGCGCCCACCACCATGCCCAGCTAATTTTTTGTATTTTTAGTAGAGACGGGGTTTCACCGTGTTAGCCAGGATGGTCTCGATCTGCTGACCTCATGATCCGCCCGCCTCAGCCTCCCAAAGTGCTGGGATTACAGGCGTGAGCCAACGCGCCCAGCCGAGCAATTTTGAAACATACAATACGGTATTATTAACATTTGTCACCATGCTGTGCAATAGATCTCAAAAATTTATTTCTTCTATCTGACACTTTGTACCCTTCTTAATTTTTTAATATTTTATAATTTTAAATATATATCTTATACTCATTTTTCACTTATATTTCAAACACCAACTCGAACCAGAGGTTTGTATTCTTTGGCCCACATTTCCCCATTCTCTCCCCACCCCCAGACTCTGGTACCTACTATTCTAATCTCTACTTCTGAGTTCAACTTCTGCAGATTCCACATGTAAGTGAGATCATATGGTATTTGACTTCCTGTGTCTGGCTTATTTCACTTAGCACAATGTTCTCCAGGTTCATCCATGTTGTCAAAAATGACAGGATTTCCTTTCATTTAAGGTCAGAATAATATTCCATTGTGTATATATGCCGCGTTTTCTTTACCCATCCATCAATGAATACTTAGGTTGATTCCATCTATATCTTGGCTATTGTGAATCATATCGCAATGAGTATGGGAATGCCAATGTCTCTCTGACATACTGATTTCATTTCCTTTGGACACATATCAGGAGTGGAATTGCTGGATCATATGATAGTTCCATTTTCAGTTTTTGAGGAACCTCCATTCTGTTTTCCGTAATGGCTGCACTAATTTGCATTCCCACCAACAGTGTACAAAGGTTCCCTTTTATCCACACCCTTGCCAACACTTTTTATCTTTCCTTTTTAAATTTTAGAATATTTTTAGATTTACATAAAAGTTGTAAAGATAATACAGAGAGTTCCTATATAACTCACCCCCTATCTTCCCTGCTGTTAACATCTTACACTACTCTGCCACATTTGTCATAGCTAAAGAACCAATATTAATATATCGTCATTAAATAAAGTCCCTACTTTTTCCAGATTCCCTTAACTTTTGCCTAATGTCCTTTTTCTGTCCTGGGATCCCATCCAAGATCCCACATTACATTTAGTCCTCAATTCTCCTTAGGATTCTATTGGCTGTGAGTTTCTCAGACTCTCCTTGGCTTCGATGACCTTGACAGCTTTGAGAAATGCTGGTCAGTTATGTTGCAGAATGTGCCCCAGTTGGAATTTTTCTGATATTTTTCGCATGATTAGGATTTGGGAGGAAGACTGCAAAGTGCCACTTTCCTCATATTCTATCAAGGGTACATGCATGACATCATCATGGATAATTTCCTTTGATGGGGTTCAGGACACGATAACCCAAAATATGGCACCTTGGCATTACAGAAAACAGCAGCAGAAGATCATAAAACTTAAGAAGGTCACTCTCTGACCATCCATCCACCTGCCCTTCTCCCCTGAAGCAGGTCATTTGAGAGATATCCTCTCTAGATAAAAGAACATGCTTAACACTGAAGCCACAGAGATGCCAAGAATCTAATCAAACAGGCCTTGTTAAGTTCTCCCAGTTTATTACTATTAGATTATACCCTTTGTCCTTCAGTCATACTTCCCTGCAACCATTCACTCATCATCAAACCTAAGCATACAAGTTTTTCTCTTTCCCTGGGTCTTCATTTCTGCAGGCTTTCATGTCCCATAAAATTTGTATTAAATAATTGTGTGGGCTGGGCACGGTGGCTCATGCCTGTAATCCCAGCACTTTGGGAGGCTGAGGCAGGTGGATCATGAGGTCAGGAGTTCAAGACCAGCCTGGCCAACATGGTAAAACCCTGTCTCTACTAAAACTACAAGAAGTACCCAGGCGTGGTTGTGCGTGCCTGTAGTCCCAGCTACTCGGGAGGCTGAGGCAGGAGAATCGCTTGAACCTGGGAGGCGGAGGTTGCAGTGAGCTGAGATCATGCCACTGCACTCCAACCTGGGCAACAGAGTGAGACTCCATCTCAGAAAATAAAATAAACAAAATAAAATAAAATAAAATAAAAATAAAATTGTATGTGCCTTTCTCTTGTTCACCTGTCCTTTGTAACAGGTGCCTCAGCCATGAACTTAGTGGTGGGTGAGAAAATGAAATCTTTTCTCCCCTACCACTTGATCACCTGGTGTAGGTACTGTTTGCCAGGGCTCTCCATTGTAAAGCTATTCTTTGTTCCCCCTTTCTATATTGCAGTGTTTGGAAGGAAGTCACTACACTCAGATCACCCCAAAGGTGTTGGAGTTAGGCTCCCCTGCCATGACTGCAGAGAATTTACATCAATTATTTGGAATTCTTCTGTATAGGAGATTTGTCGCTTCTTCCTGGAAGGAATGTGACCTTTCTTCTGTGTTCCCTGGCGTCGTGCACAGAGATCTGTTACACAGCTTGACACTTCCCATCCTGGTTAGAATATCCACTGGGGAGCGTCTCCCCAGAGCTTGAGAAACAGTCTCAACCTCACATTGGAGCAGGCAGAAAGAACTCTGGCTGAGGGTTAGGTAAGCTGTATTCTAAGCCCTGGTCTGCCACCTCCCATGGAGGTCTTGGGGCAATCCCTTTCCATCTCTGAGTGTGTTCTAGTTACCACTGGTGAGTAACGAATTAACCCACCATTTGGTGGCCTGAAACAATCATTTTATTTTGCTCACGATTTTGTGTGTCCGGAATTCTGGAAGGGCTTAGCTGGGGAGCTCTTGCCCAGGGTCTCTCATATAGTGCAGCCAAATGTTGGCAGATGCTAAAGGCATTTGATGGCGCAATTGGTCTGGGGATCTACGGTGGCTTACTTATAGCTGCCAAGTGACACCGGCTGTCAGCTACTCAGCTGGGCGGTTCACCACAGCATCCACACATGGCCTGACCATAGGGCAGTCTCAGGGAAGTTGGGAAGCTGGGTTTCTTATATGGTGGCCCAGGGTGCAAGAAAGAATGTTCCAGCAAATAAGGTGGGAGCTGGTTCACCTCTTAAGACTCAGCCTCAAAAACACACAGCATTAATTCCACTATACCCCATTGATTTTAACAGGGTCACTAAAGTCAGCCCAGATTCAAGGAGAAGTGACATAGAACTCATCACTCGAAGAGAGAGGTGTCAAAGAATTGACAGCCGTTAAACACACACACACACACACCCACACACACACACAAAATTAATATATTTTATATATTTGCATATATTTTACGTAATACATATATATATATAGGCATTGAGTCTTGCTCCATCACACAGGCTGGAGTGCAGTGGCATGACCATAGCTCACTGCAACCTCAAACTTCTGGGCTCAAGCGATCCTCCTGCCTCACCCTCCCAAGTAGCTAGGACTACAGGTATGTATCACCACACCTAGCTAATTTTTAATTTTTCTTGTAGAGATGAAATCTCACTATGTTGTCCAGGCTGGTCTCAAACTCCTGAGTTCAAGCGATCCTCTCACCTCAGCCTCCCAAGTAGCTGGGACCACAGGTGAGTGCCACCACACCTGGCTAATTTTTTGTATTTTTGATAGAGGTGGGGTTTCAACATGTTGCCCAGGCTGGTCTCAAAGTCCTGAGCTCAAGCCATACACCCACCTTGGCCTCCCAAAGTGCTGGGATTACAGGTGTGAGCCACCATGCCCAGCCTAAAAATATTAGCTTTTATCAAAGGGTTTGAGCCCCACTGGTGCTGTCTCCCTTTTATGAAGGGGGAAGTAGGTGCTGTGGTGAACAAGTGAAAACCTGAGATCACACAGCAAGCTAAGAATCAGAGCCAGGACTAAAAACCAGGTCTCCAGGCACCAGGGGCTGTGTCTCTTCCTCAAAGTCTCACGACCCTACAGAGGGAAGTAGAGAAGGTGGCCCCTGGCTCAATTGCCAGACAAACCCCCAGATGACCAGGCCCTCCTTTGACACTGCATCAGGGCTTTCTGCCTCCCATTCATTAACTCAAGAATGCATTTATTCAGCAATACGCTTCCTGGTGACAATGCTTGGACACGAAGATCTTTAGTTTGGGAGGTAGCCAAATTGGAGCTCTTGCCCTCTGAACTCATGTGGGTGAAGGTCTCAAGAGCACCATCTGCTGAGAGAAACTGACAAATGATATGGAAATGGCAATTTCTCAAGCATCTTGGCTCCTCGTCAGGTTGGGAAGTCACATCCTAAAGGTAGAAACCTACACACCCAGCTTGCTGCAAAGACTGGGAGTCTCCATCCAAGGCTCTCTGGTTGGCCAGGCTCAAGGTATTCACTGGTAATTAATATTATATTAATATGTTTGAGCATTTAATCCAGCCATGTGCTTTTTTTTTTTTTTTTTTTTTTTTGTTGAGATAGAATCTCACAGTCGCCCAGGCTGGAGTGCAGTGGCACGATCTCGGCTCACTGCAACCTTCACCTTCACCTCCCGGGTTCAAGCGATTCTTGTGCCTCAGCCTCCTGAGTAGCTGGGATTACAGGCACACACCACCATGCTCAGTTAATTTTTGTATTTTTCATAGAGAATTTGCCGTGTTTCCCAGGCTGGTCTCGAACTCCTGAGCTCGGGCAATCCGCCCGCCTCAGCCTCCTAAAATGCTGGGATTACAGGCGTGAGCCACCGCGCTCGGCCTGCAATGTGCATTTTCTTTCTTTTTTTAATTTTAAAATATTAAATTTTTAAATTATTTTTAAAAAGCTTTTGTGGGTACATAGTAGGTGTATATATTTATGGGGTACATGAGATAGTTTGATACAGGCATACAATACATAATAATCACCTCAGGATAAATGGGGTATAAATCATCTCAAGCATTTATCCTCTCCTTGTGTTACAAACAATCCAATTATACTCTTCTAGTTGTTGTTGTTGTTTTGCCAGTCAGATGGTTTAAATGCGTTCCTTATTTTTCTTCAACTTTTAAGTTCCAGGGTACAGGTGCGGGATATGCAGGTTTGTTACATAGGTAAACATGTGCCACGGTGGTTTTCTGCACAGATCAACCCATCACCTAGGTATTAAGCCCAGTATCCATTAGCTATTTCTCTTGATGCTTTTCCTCCCCCGGCCCCATCTTTTAGTTATTTTGAAATGTACAATAAATTATTGCTGACTGTGGTCACCCTGTTGTGCTATCAAATACTAGATCTTATTCCTTCTATCTAACTCTATGTTCACATCCATTAACCATCCCCAATTTCCATCCACTCCCCACTGCTTTTCCTACCCTCTGGCAACCATCATTCTACCCGCTATCTTCACGAGTACAGTTGTTTTCATGTTAAACTCACATTAATAAGTGAGAACACACAAAGTTTGTCTTTCTGTGCCTGGCTCATTTCACTTAATATAATGATCTCCAGTTCCATCCATGTTGGTGCAAATGACAGGATCTCATTCTTTTTTGTGGCTGAATAGTACTCCATCATGTATGTGTACCACATTTTCTTTATCCATTCGTTTGTTAGCAGATGCTTAAGTTGCTTCAAATTTTGGTGGTCGTGAATAGTGCTGCAATAAACATGGAAGCACAATGTGCATTCAATCTTTACAATAGTAAGTAGCAATATTATTCTCATTTTGTAGATAAAGTGGAGCCATAGAGATTTAAGATCACATGTTCATACAGATTTATATCCGAATTAGCCTGACGCAATATCTCCTTACTATAAACTATGCATCTTGACACTTGATTTTATTCCTTAGAGCATTATAATGCTTATACTGTACACCGCATTCACTTGCCTTATGTTGCTCTCTATTTTTTTTCAAGGATGTCAAACTTCCTCCCAGCCATTCGGGGGTACCTTGAGGTCTGGGACTAAGCTGCTTTTCTCTCGTCTCTGGTGAAGAGATACAAATGAATACTTATTAAACGTAACTCAGAATTAACTATTTATCTCTTTGCTTCTGACATGGAAATGTAGAGAAGTTATAAACTACCTCATACATTTAGATAAATTGTTTTTCTACAAATATTCTATGGGGTTTAAAAATAACAGCAAAAGATACAGCCATCCCTCACAACTGTAATGGCAATAAGGAAATATGCATTCGTGAAATTTATTAATAATTTCCTATCTCCAGAGAGTCAAGAATTTTAACTGTATTGTTTTTCCAGATCTGCTGACAAGTTGCAAACTTCATTTGAGTGGGGCTCCACATTCTCTTCCACTTCACCACTGACAAGACCATTTGCAAACAAATCCAGTCCCACCAATGGGATGTTCTATATGCAATTTTTTAAAATTATACTTTAAGTTCTGGGATACATGTGCAGAACGTGCAGGTTTGTTACATAGGTATACACGTGCCATGGTGGTTTGTCGCACCCATCAACCCGTCGTCTACATTAGGTATTTCTTAAATGCAATTTTAAAATCTAGTTCCCAGAGACCATAATTCCATCTTTTCTCTTTTGTGCCTTCGTTCCTCCAAGGAGTAGACTAGTGTGGGAAACAGAGCTAAATTAAGGATTAGAATACCTGGTCTCTTTGATTTTTTTTTTAAATCTTCTTTTAAACTATAAAAAATATTCTTTAAAAATTATAAATACATATATTCAGAAAATGTGTAGCTCAATGACCTACTGCAAAATCAACACCCACATAACCACCACTGAGGATTTGTGTGAGACACCGGGAAAGTCACTTGAGTGACCAGTGTCCCCAGCTGTTTGAAAAGGATCTTCTTAAACCATAGTACGTTTTATTTATTTATTTATCTAATTTTATTTTTTAAGTTCCGGGGTACATGTTCAGGATGTGTGGGTTTGTTACATAGGCAAACGTTCGCCATGGTGGTTTGCTGCACCTATCAACCCATCACTTAGGTGTTAAGCCCAGCATGCATTAGCTCTTTTTCCTAATGCTCTCACCCCACCCCATCCTCCCCCGACAGTCCCCAGCATGTATTGTTCCCTTCCCTGTGTCCATGTGTTCTCATTGTTCAGCTCCCACTTATAAGTGAGAACGTGGCGTTTGATTTTCTGTTCCTGCGTTAGTTTGCTGAGGATAATGGCTTTCAGCTTCATCTATGTCCCTGCAAAGGACATGTTCTCATTCCTTTTTCTGGCTGTATAGTATTCCGTGGTATATATGTACCACATTTCTTTCTTCAGTCTGTCATTGATTGATGGCCATTTGGGGTGTTTCTATGTCTTTGCTATCGTGAATAGTGCTGCAATGAACATGGGTGTGCATGTGTATTTATAAGAGAATGATTTATATTCCTTTGGATATATACCCAGTAATGGGATTGCTGGGTCAAATGGTATTTCCGGTTCTAATCATAATATGTTGTTTTTAATTACTACCTCCTACTCCATGAGTTGGATGAACTATAATTTATCAATGTCTGTATTGTTGGCCCGTTAGGTGGTTGTTTTCTTCTTTATTACGAATAACCTTCTAAGAAGTAGCTTGTTCCTCAATCTTGTTCATATTCATAGTGATTCCTTAGGAAAAACTCCTAGAAAATGAATTTCTAGGTCAAAATGGAATGATTTTAGAGCCTTCGCAAGGCACACAATTAGTATGAAGAAGAAAAAAATGTTCTATTACCCGAGTCTATTTTGCCAAATAAATTTGAGTAATAGAAAACATTTACTCATTGAATGAAGATGCTGTTTTTGGGAACAGACAATCCAGAGGGAAGCATGCAGGCAAAGAATGGTCTACGTTGGAGGTAAAAATATTTCAAGTTGCCATTTTCAAAAATTGTAGTTTAGTTCAAACGCTCTTGCTTCCACAAGAGGCTTTGAAACAGTTTAACATGAAAGCACCAGCATCATGAAGTCTAAAGCCACTCCAAGCAGAGCACAGTGGCCACAGCCAAGTTGCAAAATTGCTTTTTAAAAGCACTCAACACCCAGCTCATGGTGAAAAATGTCTTTTAATGTCCAGCCAAGACTCGGCCGCTAGAGGGCACTAACAATACATATTTCCAGGCAGTACCAACACCGCATGAACCGAGGTTGGTTTTCTGTCCCTTTCCATCCCATCAGCCAGAAACACAAAAGGACAATGGCCCTGCAAGCTGCCCCAAACCAGTGGAAATCTTCTAGCAAATAGGCCAGAACCTTTGCTGCCATGGGTCTTCTATCTTCCAAATTCTGATAACTTTAATATTCTGTGAAAAAACGTGTAGCTTTAACCATGAGAGGAAATCTATCAGCATATGGGGGGAGAAACAGACTTTGCTCAAAATAACCTGTGGCTTTTTGAACAAAGTTTTTGATGACTTTTTTCACTTCTGATGAATCAGATTCACTACTGAGTGACATAACCCTCATCAATTTCCTCTTTCTGCACCATTTGGCTTCCAAGGAGGTACTCTTGGCTTTTATTTCCTGCATGTTAAAGGAAATTTAGTAAGATTGATGGCTTAATGTGTAGCCAAATATCATACAACCTATAACCGGAGTGTTTTGTAACTATTAATAATTAATATGAGATGGGTACCCTAGTGGGTGATGTGCTTATTCTTGGCATCCCTAAAAGAAACTCCAAATCTCCAGGCTCTTTGAGCTGAGAGATAGGTGATAAATGGTAATGAATTAGAAGAATTAAATGCTTTCTAAGTCCCGCAGTGTTGGGGTTGCTAACACTGTATTTGTATAATGCTAGCATCTGTATCTGTTTGCTGTTTCTCTCAACAAAACACACACCTGGCTTCACTGAGGAGGACAGAAATGCCCTTAGACATTTATCCTATACCTCAAACCAAAGTAGGCTCTCTCTGAGCAGTCTAAGCTGTCTTATTGACCAGGCTTCAGATTCCGATCCTGGCTTCAAAGAAAATTCGGCTCCTCCGTGAGCAGAGGGGAGAGGAAGAAATCAGTCATTGGCTTTAAATTGCCCTGTAGCCTTTATTCTTAATTGAAAAGGTGCCTGGAATGCTAATGTTCCCCCCCCAACATTAGGCCTAAAGAAGAGGTACAAGTAAAGGAATTTGAGTCCAGTTTTGAAAATGGAGGTGCATAATCATTCATGACCCCCATTTTAGCAAATGAAGTTACCCCACATTCAGAAAATATCTTCTTGGTTGCCTCTTTGGCTACAAAGACATATGTCTTCTTTTTAATGGTCTCTTCATTTATCCTCAATGAGTTTCTGCACCTCTGAGCTTGAGTCTTTTTGGTTATCAGCAAACCACAGGAGCCTGATAATTTTGGAAGGGGCACATTCCGATGAGAAAGCACCTATCTCCATAACTTTCCGCTGCGGAAGAAGAAGAAAATGCCTTGGCAAAGATAAATGACTCTGGTTTTCATTCAGATCCAACATCCATCTTGGCAAAAACTAAAATCAGTTTGCAGGGATTAAAAACGTGGCATGGAGGTTAGACAGTCATTCCAGCAGACAAAGGTCTGTGAAAAGATAAGCCTAATTCTTTGGAAAATGAGACACATTGACTGCTAATATCTTGACTTTCTTCACATCCTTTTTTTCTCTTAAGAGAAGTTTCTCCTCTATGCTTTCCTTTTCTTGCTTGAATGTTTATCCATGGAAATGCTGGGTTATTTAAACCAATAACAAATCTCTAATATTGCTCTTGGCCGAAAACTTCTGAGAGAGGATGTGACAGAGACTTTCTTCAGAAAACAAGCACGTGAACTTCCAAGATGCCAGGCAGTACCTTAGACCCCATTAGAGCACAAAGAGAAAGAAACACATTTAATCAAAGAGCCTTTTCCCACACCCTCTCCTTTCCCCTGCTCAGTGTTTTGAATCCGCTGAGTGTTGTGTCAACGTTGGTTCCTAAGTTTGTGGTTTGTCAGAAGGGTTCAAAGGCAGCGTCTGATATTTGGATGTAGTATAACTCAATGGAATGTCTTGATCGTGTCTCAGAAATGCACTGCCATGAGGCAACAGGTCAGTGATGGAGGCCAGAAAAATAAAAGACTGCCCAGATTATTGGGGGAAGTTTACTCTCAAGACGGGGCATCACAACCACCAGGCTGAGGAAGTCCTCTCTGTATTGCTGGCTTTTCTCCTGCTCTTTCTTGGATGCATTTGTGTGTTTAAATCTTCTAAGATCTCTGGTCTTAGAGACCCAGAACTTGACAGTAAAAACTTACTTTGGATCAGAGAAGTTCCCAATGTATGGGCTACAGAGAATTTTAACATAAATTTAAAATGTAGTGCATTTTCACCTAGTGTGGACGCTTAAAACTGAATGCCAATAAGTCTCCTGGGATCTGGATACAAATGATAGAGGAAAGGGCTATTAAAACTTTGTGTAGGGTCAGGTAGATATTTAACGCTGAATTAAAGATGGGTAAACAAAAGCCTGAGATGCACACATAGAATCTAGAGAGATCAAGTGGCTTGCCCAGGGGCACTTTATAACTGGTAGTGATGATGGTGGTGATGGTGATGGTGGTGATTATGGTGGTAATTATGGTGTTGATGATGATAGTGGTGCTGATGACAGTAACAATGATAGTAGTGATGGCTGGTTTTAGTGCTGATGATGGTGGTGATTGTGGTGATGGCGGTGATGGTGATGATGGTGTTGGTGAGGTGGGGGTGAGGTTATGGTGATGGTAGGGATGATGGAAGCAGTGGTAGTGATGATAATTGTGTTGTGGTGGTAGTGGTAGTCGATATGATGATGGTCTGGGGGTGATAGTAGTTATGGTGGCAGTGGTGGTTGTGATGACGGAGGTGGAGGTGATGATAAAGACTAGATTTCCAAATCTGAAGGTTCCTAGTACCTATATCTCTTAGACCTTTAACCTGCTATGTTTTATCAAAGGATGTTGGAGTCAACATCTGCCACCCCATTGATCACCAGAGTTGATTTGGCTGATCTGGCTGGTTATGTGGGTGTCCCCTTCCTCCTTCACCACTCAATGGGCATTCCTTCCAAAGCTGCCCGCTCAGTCAAAGAAGACAACTTTAACTGATAGTAGACTTGTAGGAGAGCACACAGAATGTTGTAAGGGTGTTGTCAAGTTTTAATGTTTAATGTGTCAAGTTTATTGTATTTTTTCATGATAAAAATAATAAAACTCATTGAAGTATATGTGAAAAATATATAAAAGTTAAAGGATAAATAGCAGGTATATCTGAGAGGCACAATTTCAGGGCATGTTTGCTTCTGGTTTTCAATATGTATGTTTTGGAGGACAATTTTTTTTTTTTTACCACATATTGGTTTTGTTTTTGTGATCCAGAAAAAGAAAGAATTTGGAGTGTCAATAAGAGCCCTTATTGTAATGCTTCTCTGACACAATAGTGTCTATATAATTACTCCGATATTGTAAATGAGAAAACCGAGAGTCTAATTTGCCCCGGTATCCTACCGAGAATAAATGGCAGGGCCAGAATTCAAACCCAGGTCTCCGTAACTCCAAAGTCATGCTCGTATCCAATGTATGTCACTGTCTCCCGAGGGTGGCCCTTTAGGTCATCACAGAAACACTGTCCCCAAGGATGACAACTCAAGGATGTGAGGGCGACCTGGCTGCAACATCTGCCACCCCATTGATCACCAGGGTTGACTTGGCTGATCTGGCTGGCTAGGTGAGTGTCCCCTTCCTCCCCCACCACTCAATGTGCATTCCTCCCAAAGCTGCCCACACAGTCAAAGAAGATGACTTTTACCGATAGAAGAGGGCTGTTCTTAGCCAAGGGTGTAGGAGTAGCAGCTCTCCCCTCCTAGAACCTCCAGACAAGCCCTCCAGAAGCCTTACAATGTGGTCTTCTGATAGTTTTTATAATTCAGGCTTCTCAGACCAACTCATCCTGAGTTTTGTTCCAAAGCAAATGTTGCTTTAGCAAGATTCTAGTGAACTTGGGGTCTAGTCTTCCTGGAATCATAGTCTTTTAAGAATTGGACATGTTCTCGGCAGGCTTCTATTCCAAAGTCTATCCTTAGTGCAGAAATGCTTTCTTAACATTCCAGGTAGACTGTCCTCACTTTGTTCATGAATGCTGCCTTGACAGGGAGTTCTTGCTCCCCAACAAAGACACACACACAAGAAGAACTCTCCCTTTTAAAACTTCAACCACATGTTCAGCTGAAGTTGACTTCCCAAGTAAACTTCATCAATTACTCAGAATGAGGCTGTTTTCTCTTCAACAGCACAATTCTCTACATATTTGTGGGCAGCAGCTTCTGTCCCCAGGATTTGCAGTCACAGACCGCTTCATCTGTTTGTCTAAACTTCCGGGATCCCTTCCTCTTGGTATTTCCTGTCGTTCACAAACACTGGAACCCCAGACCTGAATCCTAGTGCTGTTCCCATCAAACAGAACCTTGGTTTAGATGCTATTCTGTGACTGCAGCCCCACATGCCTCTGAGTTATTATTTTATTTATTTTTTTATTGAGATGGAGTCTCACTCTGTCACCCAGGCTGGAGTGCAGTGGCATGATCTCGGCTCACAGCAAACTCCGCCTCCTGGGTTCAAGCGATTCTGCTGCCTCAGCGTCCTGAATAGCTGGGATAACAGGTGCACAGCACCACGCCTGGCTAATTTTTGTATTTTTGTTTAGTAGAGATGGGATTTCACCATGTTGGCCAGGCTGGTCTCAAACTCCTGACCTGAAGTGATCTGCCTGCCTCGGCCTCCCAAAGTGCTGGGATTACAGGCATGAGCGACCATGCCTGGCCAACTCTGAGTTATTTCTTTAAACAAATTTATTGAGATATAAATCACACACGTCATACAATTCACTCCTTGAAAGTGTACAACTCAATGATTTTCAGTATTTTTACAGATACAGACAACTATCTCCACGGTCCATTTTTGAACATTCAAAAAGAAACACTGTGCCCTTTAGCTGATTCCCCTAACCCCTGTCCCTCCCAGCCCTGTCAATTAGGGATCTGCTTTCTCTATATATAGAATTTCCTGTTCTAGACATTTTATATGAATGAATCTTGCAATATGTGGTCTTTTATAACTGGCTTCTGTATTAGTTCGTTCTCACTCTGCTATAAAGATACAGCCAGAGACTAGGTAATTTATAAAGAAAGGAGGTTTAATTTACTCAAGTTTCACATGGCTGGGGAGTCCTTAGGGAACTTACAATCATGGAAGAAGGCAAAGGGGAAGCAAGGCACATCTTACGTGGTGGCAGGAGAGAGAGAGCCAGAAGGGGAAAGTGCCGAATGCTTATCAAACAACCAGATCAGCTGAGAGAACTCACTCACTCTCACAAGAACAGCAAGGGGGGAATTCACCCCCATGATCCAATCACATCCCACCAGGTCCCTCCTTCAAAAAATGGGGATCACAATTCAAGATGAGATTTGGGTGGGGACACAGAGCCAAACCGTATCAGCTTCTTTCACTCAGCATCATGTTTTCAAGTTTCATTCAAGTGTGGCACATGTAGGTACTTCCTTCTTCTTATGGCTGAATAACATACCATTGTATGGATAAACCATTTTGCTTATTCATTCATCAATTAATGGACATTTAGGTTGTATTCCTTGAGTTATTTTGACCTTATTATTGGTGAGTTTCAGTAACCCAAACCGTCAAGTTACAGTCACAGCAGCTGGGATGAAGCCACTTCTTCATCCTATGTTTTCGCATCACATTAAAAAATAAATATGAGCTTAAATTCGTTACTTAGCATGTTAGCTAGCAATATTCCAAATTTTAGGCTCTTTAAAAATCATGCAAATCTGAGATATTCTTTTTATCATCTCTAAACAGGGCCACCTTCAGGGTCATTATTGGTGATAAGAGGTGGGTTCAACGCCAAGTTTGGCACCGAAACAGTGTTTTCCCAAAGCAAGTTCTCTAAGTATCTAATTCCATGAGATAGGAATAGATGTCATGAAAAAGGGAGCCATCACCAACAGGGCATGGACCACTTCAGTCCCTTAGTCTGTTTCTATCCAGAGACCAAAGAAATGTCATTTTTCTGAGGCAATGGGATCCTGTGGGTCCTGGGAGATGGGGGCACAGGGACCCAGTGGGTCGCTTGCACTAGACCAAGTTTGAAGACTGATCACCAATCTCCCTCTGCCACTGCACTGAAGGTCTTGAGTAGACAGTAGCTTTCTGGAAAGAAGTTCCTCATTGTTTCTCTTTCTGGTTCTTGGGACACATTTTCCATCATCCCGTAGGAATCAGTGCCAAGGCCTAAGGTGACTTTGGCTCAGTGAGAAGCTGCAATTGTTTCCCACCCAAATTCCATGTCGCGAGAATTCTTGGCTAGCAGATGAAAGGTGGGTAAGCCTGTATATGAGACTGGAATCTTCTGCTCCCCTGTAACACATTCACCCACTCCACTATTCTTTGCTCTGACAGGAAGAAAATTTACCCAGATATCAGAGAGGCCAACTTGGCGATGGTATTCTCCAGGAGGTCTTTGTTTTAGCTAAAGTTTAAATCAGAAGGGATCACACAAACTCTAAGATGCCCTTACTGTATTTAAAACATTTTTTAAGAGAAAGATCAAAGATTCAGGACCTCAGGGAGAAAGGGTTGGAGGGAAGAATAACGGCAAAGCATGGATAGAAATGTTTGCATGGCTTAAAAGACAGGCCAGCTTAATACCTTCTTTTATTGTTACTGTTTTTCCTCAGGTAGACCCCAAATGTCTCCTCATAGTTATGTAATAATTGCAACATTTGGAAAGTGCTTTGCAGCAGTTTATAAATCGCTTGCACATATATTCTTTCTCTTCCTCCTCCTTCTCCTCTTTCTTCTCTCCTTTTTTCTCCTTTCTCCTTCTCCTGCTCCCCCTCCTCCACCTCCCCCTTCTCCTCCTTCCTATCTCTTTTTGTCTTTCTGTCTCTCTATCTCTTCCTCTGCGTTTAGATCCCCACAATAACCCTTCAAAGGACATGAAGGACTTATTACCCAGGAGAAAACTGAGCCTTGGGCAAAGAAAGAGACTTGCCTCCCAGCTAGCAAGACGGCGGAGCTGGACTTTGCTGACTCCCATGCTAACGTTTGCTCTCCACTCTACCAAGTTAACTCTCAGGAACAGAATTCTGGGACCCCCTGGGCAGTGGGTTGGGGATTGAGGGTCTGCTAGTTATTGAAACAAAAGCACTCACGGAAGCCTGGACGACTCTGCCCTAGTAAATTCTTAATCCAGCGCATCGCCTCCTCCTCATCCAAAATCAGCTGCCTAGAGACAATTATATGATTTTATTTTGTTTTCTTTGTCTGTTTGTCTGATCTGCTTATCTCGCCTGCTTTAAAGTCAGCTTCTAAAGTGCACATTAAAGGTGATTAGAAGACTCGGGGCTGTCCTCGGTCATTAGTGAGTGCTTTGGAGAGAGTGCTGCTTCCAGGGCGCGCCTCCCGGTTCCTTCCATCATGCATCACTGACCGCCAGCAGGCCTGCCCCTTCTCTCTGGCTTCCCTCAACAGTGTCTGCCCCTGATCGAGCTGCAGATCGGAGGGGCCGGAGACGAGTTTAATTTAAAGACGAGCCCCCCTTGTGCTGCTAAAGGAAATGGCGTGTCAGCTACGTCAAAAATAGATACTGTTGCACAGATATATGGACAGGGAGGTGGACGCCGCCCCTGCCATTCATTACCTGGATTGCCTTTAAATGTCAAAACAAATCCTTCTCCGGTCCTTCTCCAAAACTTAAATCATCAAGAGAGACAGGGTCAGCCTCTGCAGTTTGGAATGCTGGAGGAGAGGGGGATGGGGTGGACGATGGGGGTTGGGGGGAGTGGAGAGGGCTGCCTGGGCGTCTAGGGATCTGTGTGTGTCCTGAGCAAGGATTTTTCCCTGCTCCCTTCTGAAAGGTTGTTCAGATTGGAGCCTGCCCCTGCTGTCCTGAGATTGATTTCACAATTCCAGGCGAGTGCCTGTAGTTGTATAATATAAATATAGATGTGGATGTGTATAAAAGTAGTAATGCATATTGTGTATGCATATTAACAGCTGATGTGAGCATGAGTAATAGCATGACACAAATGTGACAAAAGTTACACAGGTTTACACTAGTCAATGCTTTCTATGTGCAAGGCATCTAATGTTCATCTTATTTAATGCTAGAGCAACCCTACGAGGTTTATAATTCCCATTTCTCAGGTGAGAGAACGGAGGCTTGGAGAGGTTGAAGTACCTGTTTGGGGTTGCACAATGCTACCAAGTGGCAGCACTTCAAAGCCTGTATAGTCTTAGGCTCAACACTGGATACGTCATCAAAAAGTTCAGACGAGAATTCTAGCATGAGGAGAGAAATGCAATGACTAGCTTATATTGGCATGGATGTTTTAAAGCCAAAGAATAACCAGATTGTAATAAGTAAAGTAATTTATATTGATTGAAAAAAATCAGTGCATGCATAGGAGGCTGGGAGTGTGAGCCAGACTCCCTGGCTTCAAATCCTGCTATTTCCTAACCATGTGCCCTTGAACACATCATTAATCTTTTTGCTCCACAATTTCCTCATCTGTAAAATAAGGATAATAACAATACCTTCCTCTTAGAGTGGTCAAGGCAATAAAATGAATTGATACATGTCAAGCACTGCAATAGTTTCCAAGCATAAGATAAACTTTTAATAAATATTAGCTACAATTAAGCACAGATGTATTTAGTTTGTTCTGTTTTTTAAATCCTCTCTGCTAAATAACCATATGGCTTCCAAGTTAAAGAATTCTAAACCATTGAGATTTTCCTGAAAATGTGGAAAGATCAGATAGATAGATAGACAGATAGGGAATCTGTTTTGCAGCATTTACATATTTGAAGAAATCTTTATATTCTGGGTCACATACGCATATATAAAAATACTAGTGTTTTTCAAATATAATTAAAATTGCATAATTATAAATACATTTTTAAAAACAATCCAAATGTCCATCAGCTGGTCAATGGATTCATAAAATGTGGTTGGTTTAGTATATCCAACCATGGAATACTGCTCAGCAAAAAAAAAAAAAAAAAAAAAAAAATTGATGCATACTACAACATGGATGAATCTCTAAAACCTTATGCTGAGTGAAAGAAGCTAATAGCAAATGACTTCATATAGTATGATACCATTTATATGCAGTGCTCAGGAAAAGCAAATTCATGGAGACAGAAAGCAGATTAGTATTTGCGTGGGTCTGGAGGTCTAATTTTATCCTATGAGTAATCTTGGTATAGCACAGATGCTCCCATGCTGTGAACCGACCACATGCTCTGTCTTGGCCACCAGCCCTATCTGGAGCCAAGGACTCTACTCTGTAACATCTCAGAGTTTGTCCTACCTCTCGAACCCCATACTTGCTCAATCTTCTGTCCCAAAGTTCAGAGTGACCGTGCTCTGCAAGTTACTCGCATTGGACAAGCTCTGGATTAATGTTCAGTGCCCCAAGCTGGGTTCCTGTGAAGTGTGCTCATCTGTGCCTCTCCAGCCTGTCCCAAATTTGGGACCAGAGAAGGTGTCACAGACAGCCTCTGAAAGAGTGTTTCTCAGCTTCAGCACTATTGATATTGGGGCTAGATGATTCTTTGTTGGGGGAGGTTGGGGTGTACTATGCATTGTAGGATGTTTGGTAGTATCCTTGTCTTCTATGCACTAGATACTAATAGCATACACTGCCTCCTCCCCACCCCACTGCAATCCCCAGTGGTGACAAAGACATCACCAGCTATTGCCCAACCATCTTGGAGAGACAGGTCACTGCCAGTTGAGATCCACTGTTCTGGAGAAATCATCTCCTGTTTGTTTTTTCCCACCTCTCACCTTGGTGCTCTCAAAGATTTTGGTCACGTCATAAAGCTAGTGAAATCTGGTTGGCTGAGGAAAAATCCTCCTAAGGAAATCTTTGCATTTTTATTTAGGACAAAGTCACTTCTTGTTGACAGATCTATTAGCAACCAGAACTTTTGTAAAGAAAAACCAATCTATATTGTGTGATTACAAAGTCATTATATATATTTTTTGTTTAAACAATCAAACATTACAACTATATATAATTTATACAGTGAAAGTTTCCTGGAAATCCCATACATTTAGAAAACCCCCATTAACATTTGACCTAAGGGCTTCCATACAAATGCACACACATACAAAATATATATTTAAATAAGAACTTACTATGCACACTCTTTATCATCTTTTCCCTTCCATGGAAACGGATGTTTTACTGTGTTAGCTCTTGCCACAACAATGCTGCATAACAAAATTACTCCAAAGCTCAGTGGCTTAAAACTGTTATCCATTGTCATGCTCACAGGTCTGTGGGTCAGCTGCAACTCAGCTCAGCTACGCAGGACTTCAGCCTCCACCTTGAGTCCAGGTCTGACTTCCTGGACCAGTGACCATCCAGGTCATGTGATCTGCTCCATGTGTCTCATCCTGGAGTCCAGGCTGAAAGGGCAGTGACGACCTAGGACTTATTTTTCTTTCATGATAGATCATCAGAGTGCAAGAGATCAAAACCAACTGCACAAGCACATTCTAAGCTTCTGCTCACATCATATCTACTAACATCCCTTTGGTCAAAACAAGTCATGTGGCCAAGCCCAGAGTCGAGTTGCAGGAAAATGTGCTTTCAACCACAGTAAAGGTGTGGACATGTGATACGACCTCAGAGGAGTGGGTCATTGGGACCAATCATTTAATCTATCACATTTAGAAGAGAAGTGCAGACATGAAATGGTATCCATGTCTTATAATCACTGGTTTCAGACCTTGCCTGACACAGTGCTCACATCATCCTTCCCTCTTCCCAACTCTCTATTTTATGTAGCTTAGTGGCCAAGATTTGTACCGACAGCCATAGAATCTCTGAAGAAGCAAGTAATCTGACATTGGGAAAGTTACTTGACATTGCTTTTCCTCAGTTTCCTCATTAAAAATGGTGACAAAGCCACCTAACCTGAGAATCCACACATGTCCAGCAGCCACAATGGGACTATTGAGGAGAAGCTTGAGAGGGAAGAGGGTGGGAGGAAGAGGGGTCCACCCCTGCCTCTGTGTAACTACAGCCTCCATGAGTCCAGCTCCAAGTACCTGGTGGAGAGACTGGGTCTGCTGTTGGTCAGCAGGATCAACAGAGCTGCAGAGAACAGAGGAAAGTAAGGGCATGCTGAGACCTGCTGACACCTCTGCACTTGTCACCTCATCTAACCAGGGTGGCCCTCCAGGGCTACTGGCTGCTGCTTCATCTACCCTTCCACTCTTACAGGAATTCGGTTTTTGGCCAAGTCTAATTCAGACCTGAAGACCAAAAGAACTCCTGGAAACATAATTCCAGCTTAACCAAGTTGACACTCTACAAACCACCCCATAGCCCAGAAATAAATGTGTTGAGTCTGGAGTATCCACTCAGAGCCCTACTGTGTGATGCTGAGCCTATTAAGAAGACATAAAGTACTGTTTGTGGTTAGGCACAGTGGCTCACACTTATAATCCCAGCACTTTGGGAGGCCAAGGCAGGAAGAGCACTTGAGCCCAGGAGTTCAAGATCAGCCTGGGCAACATAGTGAGACCCCGTCTCTACAAAAATTTAAAAATTAACCAGTCACGGTGGTTTGCACTTGTAATCCCAGGTACTCAGGAGGCTGAGGTGGGAGGATCACTTGAGTCCAGGAGTTCGAGACTACAGTGAGCTATGATGGCACCACTGCACTCCAGCCAAGGTGACAGAGTGAGATTCTGTGTCTCTAAAACAAGCAAAAGTACTGCTGTGTCTTTTGTCTGCAATTTTGCAGTAAAGACAAGACAAAGATGCATGAACCATTAAGAGACCTCATGGATATGCAGGACACGACCAAATACATATGGCTAAGGCCCTGTAATCTGAATGGAGGAACCTTTGATGTCTCTGAAGTGTTGTGATCTTTGACAAAGACAAGGAAAAGTGAAAGTTAGCCGTGGACAGATACTGGGTTTCCCACATGTGATAGATGGAGTCGTTATTAGCAATATAAGTTCCCTATACTTGATATACACATCCACACTCTTTGACATGTGACTTTGCAAGATTTCCCACTAGAATGGGTAGACTCTGCTCCACTTTCATGAGTTTTGGCATGTGACCTGGTATGGCCAATGAAATGTTAGGGAATGTGACACAAGTAGAGGCTATAAATGCTTGCTTCTTATGCTTCTCCCATTCTTCATGTTAAGAACATATCCTGAGTGGCCACTGGTCCAAGAAGGAATGAGAGAGATGATAAATCAGACCTTATCCCAATCTGGAAATGGAGCCCTCCCAGCTGAGCCCAGCCATGAGCAGCTGAACTACAGTCAGCTCCTGGATTCTTGAGCAAGAAATAAATGCTTGTTACTTTAAACCATTGAATTTGGTGGTGAGGGAGGGAACTGTTGAATGCTGAAAGCATTCTTGCAGCACCAGCTGGCTAATATACCATGTAACCCACTTAGTGATTGATTTGGAAAAACTTGAGATCTACTAAAATGTCATGATCCCTATGTAAGGAAATTCAGGTGCAAAAAGTGATAGCTCAGTATAGCAGAAGGAAATACATGTGGCTAGGTCACCAACATCCACTTTTTATTAGGATGACTGACTGACTAGTGGAGTGGGAGATTGAACCTTTAAAACAAACCACCCTGCTTTAAGGGACCTCTAGTTCTATACACAGCTTGCATGTAAATGTACCCTTCTCTCAAAATATTATGGCCCCTTACTCTAAGATTTCTTCATGATATTTATTGTTCAGTTGAGTTATGCTTCCTGTAGAAAACTGAGAAATAAAATAAAACAATGAAAAAAATTTAAAGAACCTAATTCCACCACCCAGAGATAGCTTCTGTAAGCTTATTAGCACACAGTCTTCTGTATGCATATTTTTTTCTAATAAAAGTGGGATCATACAGTGTGTAGTGTTTTATAACCCACCAGTCTCCACTTACAAAGAGACTATGCATATTTAGTTTCTGTAGTAGTTTCCTAAAATATTAAACATGTTGACATAATCTAATTGACCAGTTTCTGATTGCTGCACACCTACATTCTTTCTGGTTTCCTTCTATTGTAAATAACACTGCAATGAACATCTTATACCAAAATATTGGTGCAGAGTTCTGATTACTTCCTTAGGATAAATTCCTAGCAGTAGAATTACTAGGCATCAAGGCTTTTAAAAATATGTTTTAAATTTTCCCTCCAGAAAGGTTTATTGATGTGTACCCCTCTCCTCGGTGTTTAAGAATGGGTACTGAGGCTTAATGAAATCAAGGAATTTCAGAGTTAGTCCTTATTTTCAGTTAGCAGTGAAATTCATCAGAACCTTTCAGCCTGGGCACCAGCAATGGTTCACGTATTCAATAAATATTTTTAGAGTGTATACTTTGTGTCAGGCACTGGGGATATAGCAGTGAACAGAGCAAATAGAAATTTTTACCTTGGATATTTAAGGTCCAAAGAAAAAGCCAACATTGAAAGATTGGCTACTCTTTGAGCTTGACATATACTCACAGGGACCCATTTCTCCAAAATTATGGAGCAGTCATTTTGCTCTCTGAGCAGATCCACTTTCCTGCTATTTTCAAGATTCCATTGTTCTCATCCCAGACACCCCAGAAGAAAGTAAAGGAGGTAGGTGAATTCTCCTCAAGTGAAAAGGAGAAGTCCTGACAAACCCCTCCCCTGGAAAGCGAAAGGGAAAAAACTAAATGAATTAGGTCAAATAAATTTAGAGCTGCCCACCCCATCCGCCCAGGAGACGCCGCCTGGTGTTGTGATTTCATAAACCATGGAGCACTGTGCGGGGAGTTTGGGATGATGTCACCTGAACACCAGGATGTATTTATGGCTTCATGCCTACAGCTACCTTTCACTTCTTCTCTTTGGGTAAATACATCATGGGCCCATCACGGTGAAGCCAGCGAGTGCTGGCTGAGTGGTTTATGGTTGTGCCTGTGCTGGGAGGTGTGTTTGCAGGACTGCTTGGCAGATCCCTAGGTGTGAGTTTCTAAGATGCTGGGCCCTGGATCCAAAAACCAGGATATCATGGAGCCTGCTTTTGTCTCTTTCAAGATGTTTCCCTCCCCCTTGCTTCCAGCCCCTGTCCTCAATGTCAGCAAAGCCCACTCCCCTTTCTCCCATCTTTTCTTTCTTGGGTGATAGCCAAAGAAAGAAGCAAACCTCCTCATCGACCTCCCTGAACCAAATTCAAAAGCACTTCAGCTGACACCTCTGCTTTGTTGACCTTTTGGCTTTTGATTTGGGTGAAATTGAAGGTAAAAGAGACATGAATCCAGCAACTGAATTTGACCTCTTAGGCAGTTTGAGGAACAGGGGTGTCCCCAGGAGACGGCAGGGGACATGGTGGGGAGAGGACAGAACAGAGGACTTCGGGGGTACCAGCTCCTCTGGGAAGACTTTGCTGCCTCCATTCCCAGGTGAGTTAGTTTTATGTTTTCTGAGCTCACCTCTGACATAGAATCTATCACACCTCAAAATAACACAGGATGGGCGTGCTCAAAGGTGGAGTCCATGGACCTTACACACAATCAGTATGCAACAAATGCTTATTTAAAAAATGAATGCCTGAATAAATGAATGAGCAGATAAATAGAAGGTTCTCCCTCAGCATCTGGGCTTCTTCCACTTGCCATTTAACTTGGTGTTTTGCCCATCCATTCAACAAAATGTGGGGACCTCTGACCATTCATCAAGCTCTGGATTACATTGGTATCAGTTATTTACACAATAAAAATTTCCTGAGTGCCTACTGCACATCAGGTCGTGGGTTCAATTCCAGTGCTAAAATGAAATTAGTAGTTACCAATTTCATGACGTTCAGTTGAGACTTGAGAAAAAATTATCAGGCAATTTCAATTTCAATTGTTTCATGGATGGGGAAATTACACGATGGCAGAAAAGGGAGTTCTGAATCAGACTGGGGGGATGTCATTAAAGTCTTTTTGAAAAAGAAAAGATGGAGATTCTTGTAGACTTGTTTTTGGAAAAGACTTCATATTAGCTGTCTGGCTCAGTTGTCAACACACAGAAGTCCTTGACCACCAAAGAGACCACATGGTATACCTAATAATAATGCTTCCCATTTAAAAAAATTGCTGCCATTCGAAAAAAAAAAAACTGAGTTGGCAAGGATGTGAATGAATGAGACTTCCAGGCCACTATTTAGAAAATGGCAGGATAAAATGGTGTAACTGTGTTGGAGAGCAAACGAACAATAGCCAATATCTTCTATAAGATGCATGTACATTTCAACCAAGCAGTTTAACACCTGCTATGGCTCCTAGAGAAACTCTTATATATATGCAAAGAGAGCTATATATAAGAATATCCACTGCAATATTGTTTGTGATGCTAAAATCCTGGAAACTACCAACGTGGTCATTAACTGGAGAATGAACGAGTAAATTGAGGTGTGTATGTTCAGTGGAATGAGCCATAGTGGTTAAAAATAACCAACCAGAAATGTATGTGTCAACATAGGTCAGTCTCAGAATTACAGTGTTAAGCAAAATTTCCACAAGAATACGGACAGAAGTTTTTTAATGTGTGAAACAACATCATATGTTACATAATATATGTTATTTAAGGATAAATATATACATCCAGGGTAAGAATGTAAAGATATGCATATGAATGATAAACCTCAAAATCAGGGTGGTGGTTACCCTTGGAGACGGAGGAGAAGATAGGCAATTAAGGAGAGATACATAAGAGGCTCCACCTGCATCCATAAGTTTTTATTTTTTAAGCTTGATATTGAATATATGAGAGTTTATTATATTTATTCTCTATACTTTTATGTGCTTGCACTATTTCGAGATGCAAATTTTAAAATGCTACTATATACATACTATTATGTTCTTTGCTTCTCGTGGAACCTTGTGAAATAGAAAAGCAGGAAACGTTATTTTCCTGGCTGGGCTTTTTAAATCCATTGTGTGGATTATATAAGAATCATCACAGCAGCACCATGAGGCAGTTGTGATGATTGTCCCTATTTCACAGATGCAGCCATTGAGGCTTACAGAGGGAGCAGCTTGCCCAATTCATGCAGTTATGGCAATTTGGGGCAACAGGGTTTGAACTCATGACCGACAGCCTCTTTGCTCAGGAGGCATAGAGTGTAGGAGTTAAAAGGGTCACCTCTATCACATTCCTAAGCTAAACTCCCAGTTCTACCTCTTCCTACCTGTATGACCTCAGGCAAGCTTATCTCTGTGCCTCAGTTTCTTTACCTGTAAAATGGGGCTAATTATAGTAACTTCCTCATGAGGTTGTCTCATGAGGATTAAAAACATTCAGAAGAACTCAAAACAGTGTCTGGCACATAGTAAATGCTACAAAAGTGTTTCTTGTTATTGTTTCTAATTATGCCTGAACTCTACACACAGGTGACCTTCAAGCCGCGCTACCATCAGGCACTGCTTGGAGCCGGGTGGTGGTCAAGTGCGGGCTTCCAGCTTAGGGAATGAGGGGACTTTCAGAGATACAGGGGCCCATAATTTGGCCAGCAGATGAAAAGAATTGGTGATAGATTCATGAACCAGGCACTTCTCCTCCCTCCATTTGTTTTTCAGCCTTTCCCCCTCACCATCACTCACTGGCTCTATAAACAGACTTCCCAGTAATCGTTTTCCTTCCCTTTGAAGTCTCCCATCCATTCTCTCCTCACTCTTAGCCCACTCCCCTTCCTCTCCAAAGAGGACCTTGTGTTGGCAACAGTTTCCAACTGGACAGGGCGGAGATGCAGTTCATAACACCCTCTAGAAGGTTAGTTCAGTTCAATCCAGCACATTTCTCTGAACACCTACTGGGTGCCTTTGAAAAAACTTAGCTGAGGAGAGAGAGTCACAGGGGATGAAAGAGAAAGGCCCAATCAACTAGGTTGGAAACCAGGTTTTGTCAGAACGTCTCCTGGAAAGCTTCCCCTTCTTTCTGAGCCTCAGTTTTCCTATCTGTACAGTGGGGATAATAATACCACCAACTTCACAGTTATATGAGAGGTAAATTATACACTAAATGTGAAGCATTTGTTACCATACCAGGAGTGAAGCAACTCAGCTAATGACAGTTTTCTTATTTCTGTTGTTATTGGTGTGATGAAGAAGGAAGAAATTTGAATAATGTCCAGCTTCTGGTCTAGAAGATTCGGTAATGGGAACAGCCATCTGCTTAAATCCAGAGCCCAGGAGAAATCCAGGTCTTGAGGGAAGAAGACCAGTTCCATCTGGAACATGTTGAGTTTGAGAGAGCTGAGTATGGGCCACATGGAGATATCAAGGGTGCATCTGGCAATTCAGGTCCGGAGTTTTGGGGCTCAAGTCATGGAACAGTCATAATTCCTGGGATCCTGACTCCCACTTTTTGCAGTGACCACACAAACCCACTTCTGGAAGCTTGCATATGGTAGAAAAGGCTTTTTGCAGTCCCCTATCCCCCTATGCACACAAACATCTCTGAGCCAAGTCCCAGAGGTATGTCACTCAAAGGAAATAACCCAGTTTAGACAATGACCAACTATAATGCCCTCTTCACTGAAAAACAAAATCCAGGCTTCTCCTCCAACTAGAGAAGGAGACCCAGAAGAAGGGGCAGTGATGATGTTTCAGGGAGATTTTCATTTCCAAGAGCTCATAGCACACCTGAGATATAGATCCCACACATGTTCCACACGAACAGCCCAGTGTACGCATCTACATAGTATTGAGTAGGTGCCAGCTACATGGCCCAGAGGAGGAGAGTGGTCTCTGAGAAGGCTAGTCCATTGGCCCAAGAGTCTCCTTGTTCAATAGGAAGGATGCGGCTGGAAGTGAGATAGAGTGGGACCTCTGAAGACTGGCATTCAGGGAAGGCTCTTCTGGCCCAAGACTAGGACTAAAACTGGATATGTAATAAGCCTCCATCAGCTAAAAGTCATCATGTAGCTTGTACAGAGTTTGGAGAAACACAAAATTTATTTGAATTAAAAGAAGTCAAAACCTGCCCCCTATAAAAGTATTATCAGTATAAAAATCAAAGAAATGTAAACTAAAACTCTAATCTCTCTTCCTCCCACCCCACCCTCCCCCCGCTCCCCAGTCCCTAGAAGGGTCCCTAGTCATCAATTTGTGTCATTACGTCCTGGCACTTTCTCCAGGTGCACTGTATAAGAAAGCTTCAATGCACGTATGCAATCAGCAAATGGTTTATCTTTATTTTCAAAAAAAATTATTAAAAACTTTTTTGACCAGGCACGGTGGCTCACACCTGTAATCCCAGCACTTTGGGAGGCTGAGGCAGGTGGATCACGAGGTCAGGAGTTTGAGACCAGCCTGGCCAACATAGCAAAACACTGTCTCTATTAAAAATAAAAAAAATTTAGCCGGGTGTGGTAGGTGCCTGTAATCCCAGCTACTTGGGAGGCTGAGCTAGGAGAATCGTTTGAACCCAGGAGGAGGTTGCAGTATGCTGAGATTGTGCCATTGCACTCCAGCCTGGTCAACAGAGTGAGACTATGTCTCAAAAAACAAACAAACAAACAAAAAACACACACAAAAAAACATTTTTTTAAAGACAGGGTCTTGCTCTGTTGCCCAGGCTGGAGTCCAGTGGCACAATCATAGGTCACTGCAGCCTCCAACTCCTGGGCTAAAGGAATCCTCCACCTCAGCCTCCTGAGTAGCTGGGACCACAGATGCACACCACCAGGCCTGGCTAAGTTTTTCTGTTTTGTAGCGATGGGGGCCTATCTATGTTAGCCAGGCTGGTCTTGAACTCCTGGCCTCAAGCAATCCTCCTGCCTTGGCCTCCTAAAGTGCTGGGATTACAGGTATGAAGTACTGTGCCTGGCCTAATACAAAAGATTTTTTAAAAGCTCTTGTTGGACCCATATTTGTGAGAGGAGAGAAAAGATTGCCCGTAAACATGTGTATTTGGAAAATTCGCAAATGAATATTGGTACTTTGATGCATTGCATAGGAATTCACTGAGCATCTGCTCCACACGAGGCAACATGTGTATTTATCTGTGTGCAAAACAGCAAAGGGGGTGATCTGGATTGCATTCCCTGTTGGCATCCGCACTCTTAAGTGCACACGGCATATGTAATATGGACATCCATTTTTTTATCTCAATTGGTTCCTTACCCCGGGTCTGCTGGTAGCTGCTTGGCTCATTGCAGAATGTGCAACGGTGCACCCAAGCCGCCCCTACCCCCTAGCCTTTGTGGGACTCCTCGCTCTTTTTCCCTCCTTCTTTGGAGATTTTATTTATTATCTGTGGGGAAGTGTATTGTTTGGAGATTCTGGTTTCTATTTCCCCACTGGCTTTGACAGATACTCAGGGAAAGGGGGTGCAGCGGGAGAAGAGAGCATTTGGTTTTGTTTTATGATACGCCGTGGAGGCTTTGTTAAATTCCCAGAGGCCTTTGGGCCCGGAGGACCAGGTAAATGAAAAGGAAACGGTGATGGTTTACGAGAGCTTGTGGAGAGAACCGTAACGGCACAGAATGAGTGTGGTCACTCTTTGTAATGTAAGCAGTGGAAATAGCAAAACTGGATTTAACGTGGACAGTAATTTTTACAGTGCTAATAATACAGCAGTCATCGTGGTATCAATTCATTTTATGCAAACATGAAGGGGTGCTAAGATGCATTATACCACAGAGACTCCTTGATCCACGTCTGAGATCAGACTGCCTGGGTTTGCCTCTGGCCTCTGCCACTGTATTCCTTTTCTGTGTAAACTTGGGTGAGTTACTTGGTCTTTTTGAGTTTCAGTTTCCTCCTCTGCAAAATGGACATCACAAGAACTACGCCTATCTTCTAAGGTTGCTGTGGGGATGGATATAATGCCTGAAGCACTGTGCCTGGATAGTGAAGACTGAATAAATCTTTTCTGTGGCTTTCAAGCACAATGCATCCTCTTTGTAACACTGCTATGAAGAAGTGATTTCATCTCTTTTTATGGATTAACTAACTTTTATTAAACTATGTTGTCTCCCAGAGAAAGGTTCAAATCCTTGTTATCATGAGCCCAACATGTCCAAAATCAAAATCACTTATCTCTTTCCTCTTTCTGCCCAAACCAGCATTCTCTAAGGTCTCTGTGGAGTCTTTCGAAATGCATCATTTATCCCAGCAGTCTCCAACCTCAGTTGTGCATGAGAATCTGCAGGAGAGCTTTTTAAAAAATACCCATGCCTGGTGTCCAACCCAAAGATTTTGGTTTAGCTGCCTTGGGATGAGGCTCAAGCTTTCCAGATGATTTGAGTTTACAGCCAGAGCTGAGACCAACAAGGTACACAGCTGCCCAGGGGAGGAGCATTCTCCTTCCCCTGAATTCCTCCTCACTCTTGAAGAACCCTGCTGAACTCACTGCTGAGACACTGTTAACTCTTCCTGATTCTCTCTAACCTTGGTGTCAATTGCATGCTTGTCGCTTCTTCATTGGACTGCTGAATAAACCTCCCTCTTGGCTTCTGGACTTTCAGCGTATCCCTCGTCAGTGGTCAACCTGCCCACCATTCTAGCTCCCCAAGTGTTCTTTTCACAGCATGCATCTGATCACAGCGCTTAATCTCTCAATGGTTTGCCATTGCCTGTACGATTTAGTCCAACTCCCCAGCCTCTATTTAGAAGCCCTTCTAAATAGGCTCAGCCTGCCTTTTCAGCCTCATATGCAACCTCCTCTTCTGCCTGAACAATCACTATTTGATCATGCTCTTCTTTCCACTACATCTGTCCTTGCCCAATGGTAAACCCTTACATATTCCCCAGCCCAAGCCCCTCATCCACCTCCCAGGCAATATGGATTGCTTCCTGGGGACTTTGTAGCCTAATATGATACATGCTGTAGAAGTATGTACAGTATGGTTTTTATTTACATATCCGTCTCCCCCATTTGCCTTGGGAATTCCTCAAGTTCAAGGACTGAGTCTTATTCATCCACATGCTTATTCATCACCCCTCAGAAGCATTTGTGGAGCAGAACAAGCTGTATCACTTTCAGGTTTTACTCTGTGGCAGATTCTATTTTCCAGACTGCCACAGCGATATTTTCCATTCTACATCTTCTTCTTCAGCATGACCCTGCGTGCCACGTGGAAAGTCTAGCTTCCCTCTGCTTGGGCAGGTTTGTGAATGTTTCTACCAGTGGAATGGGGCATAAATGATGTTTTATGACTTCCAAGGTTGGGCCATAAAAGTCATTGCAGCATCAGCTTTGTTCCCTAGAGCACCTCTGCTTGCATCCTTAAGCCTTCATGGAGAAAGGCTGATACCCCTGGGGCCACCATGTTGTGAAAAAGCCAAGCTGCATGGGAAGGCCAAATGTACATGCTCTGTAGACAATCCCAGGTGAGCCCAGCCTCCAAGTGGTTCCAATACAGGCAATAGATACATGAGAAAAGAAACTTTCAGAAGATTCCAGCACTAGTCACCAAGTCACCTCCAGGCATTTGAATCTTTCCAGCTCAGATCTCAGACACTATAGAGCAGCAGTAATCCACCTTTATGGTGCCCAGTCTAAATTCTTGACTCTTAGAACCTGTGAGCATAAAAGATTTGTTATTGGAAACTGCAAAGTCTTGGGGTAGATTCTTATGCAACAATAGCACCTAAAGGGCTCTGTTTTCTCCTTTGTTTGATATGCAGCCCTGCACTGGCTCTACCTACCACCCCCTCCCATATCATCCTCCCTCACCAGGATGCACCTTTACTGGACTTTCTGCTCCTCTATCATCCCTACCTGGCTCCACCTCAGGGCCTTCACCATTGCTGTTCCCTCTACCTGGAACAGTGTTCCCTCTGCCTGAAACAGTCTTCCCTGCCTCTTTCTATCATGGTACCTTCTTATCATTATTGAATTTTAATTAAAATATGTTTTATATGACATATATGTTATAAAGTATAAACATGTAAATAATTGATAATTATATGTTGTAAACATAGCATAAAAATTATATTTTATGTAATAGCCAATACATTCACAAAAACATACTCAACATCGTCAGTCATCAGGGAAATGCACTACGTATATACTAAGATGGCTAAAATAAAAAAGGTTGACAATACTAAGTATTGACAAGGGTGTGGAGCTGGTGGGAATGCAAAATGGAAGAACCACTTTGGAAAATAGTTTGGCAGTTTCTAATAAAACTATACATAGAGTCATGCACACATATAAGCCAGCAATTCCACTCCTATGTATTTACCCAAGAAAATGGCCAACCCTTATCTACCTAAAGACACGTGCATAAGTGTTTACAGCAGCTTCATACATAAGAGCTAAAAACAGGAAACAGCTCAAGTGTCCATCAACTGAGGGATGGGCTAAGGAACTGTGGTTCATCATCCATACCACCCATACTATTCAGCCACAGAAAGGAACAGGCCAGTGATACTTGCAAGAACATGGATAGATCTCAACCACACTGGGCTAAGTGAAAAAAGCCAGGCACGGGAGGCTGCATACTGTATGTTTCCCTTTTAACCACTTTCCAGAAAAAGCAAAACTAAAGGACAGGAAACAGATCAGTGGTTTCAGGAGGCTCTGGGGGCTTGGTGGTGGGGGGCAAATGGACAGGCTGTAAAAAGATTCAAAGGGACTTTGGGGGCAGGAAAATATTCTGTACTTTGATTTGGTGGTAGTTATACAATAAGACACATTCATCAGAACTCCTTGAACTATATCATTATCAAGGGAGAATTTTAATGTATGTAAATTACCCTGATAAACCTGTCTTATGAAAAGTCACTTCTTTAGGGAGGCTAAAGACTTCTCTGACCTTATTTTATTTAAAAGATATCCTGATCCATCAAAATTCTTTCTCACATGACTTTTTTTTTTGCATAGTACTTAATGATTTCTAAAATTATATATAAACCCACATACATTTACTTTATACTATATATATTTTATATAAATAAATATATAATATATTTATATAAATAAATAAGAAATATAAAATATATGTATATAAACAAGAAATATAGAATATATTTTCTATAAATTAATAAGAAATAGTATATTTTTATATAAATAAGACATATATAATATATTTATATAAATAAATAAGAAGCCTCTCCCTCTCCCTCTCCCTCTCGTCTCTGTCGTCTCAGTCTCCCGCTTTCCACGGTCTGCCCCTCTCCCTCGTCTCAGTCTCCTGCTTTCCACAGTCTCCCTCTGTTGCCGAGGCTGGACTGTACTGCCACGATCTCGGCTCACTGCAACCTCCCTGCCTGATTCTCCTGCCTCAGCCTGCCCAGTGCCTGGGATTGCAGGCGCGGCCCACCACGCCTGACTGGTTTTTGTATTTTTTGGTGGAGACGGGGTTTCGCCCTGTTGGCCGGGCTGGTCTCCAGCTCCTGACCCCGAGTGATCTGCCCGCCTCGGCCTCCCGAGGTGCCGGGATTGCAGACGGAGTCTCGCTCACTCAGTGCTCAATGTTGCCCAGGCTGGAGTGTAGTGGCCTGATCTCGGCTTGCTACAACCCCCACCTTCCGGCCGCCTGCCTTGGCCTCCCAAAGTGCTGAGATTGCAGCCTCTGCCCGGCCGCCACCCCGTCTAGGAAGTGAGGAGCATCTCTGCCTGGCTGCCCCATCGTCTGGGATGTGGGGAGCACCTCTGCCCCGCCGCCCAGTCTGGGAAGTGAGGAGCGCCTCTTCCCGGCTGTCATCCCGTCTAAGAAGTGAGGAGCGTCTCTGCCCGGCCGCCCCGTCTGGGAGGTGAGGAGCGTCTCTGCCCCGCCACGACCCCGTCTGGGAGGTGAGGGGCGCCTCTGCCCGGCCGCCCCGTCTGAGAAGTGAGGAGCCCCTCTGTCCTGCAGCCGCCCCGTCTGGGAAGTGAGGAGCGTCTCCGCCTGGCCGCCCTGTCTGGGATGTGGGGGGCGCCCCCGCCCGGCAGCCCCGTCTGGGGGGTGGGGGCCCCTCTGCCCGGCCGCCAAGTCTGGGAAGTGAGGAGCCCCTCTGCCCGGCCGCCACCCCATCTGGGAGGTGTACCCAACAGCTCATTGAGAACGGGCCATGATGACAATGGCGGTTTTGTGGAACAGAAAAGAGGAAAAGGTGGGGAAAAGAAAGAGAGATCAGATTGTTACTGTGTCTGTGTAGAAAGGAGTAGACATAGGAGACTCCATTTTGTTCTGTACTAAGAAAAATTTTTCTGCCTTGGGATGCTGTTAATCTATAACCTTACCCCCAACCCCGTGCTCTCTGAAACATGTGCTGTGTCCACTCAGGGTTAAATGGATTAAGGGCGGAGCAAGATGTGCTTAGTTAAACAGATGCTTGAAGGCAGCATACTCGTTAAGAGTCATCACCACTCCGTAATCTCAAGTACCCAGGGACACAAACACTGCGGAAGGCCGCAGGGTCCTCTGCCTGGGAAAACCAGAGACCTTTGTTCACATGTTTATCTGCTGACCTTCCCTCCACTATTGTCCTATGACCCTGCCAAATCCCCCTCTCGGAGAAACACCCAAAAATGATCAATAAATACTAACAAAATTTAAAAAAAAAAGAAATATATAATATATTTTATATAAATAAATAAGAAATATATTTTATATAACTAAAATATATTTATATATAAATAAGAAATATCTATTTTATATAAATAAATAAGACATATATAATATATTTACATAATATATATATTTTAACTTGCTTACTGTCTGTTTCTCCTCCAGAATGGCTAACTCCCGAGGCAGGGATTATATTCATCATGCTTACTTCTCTATCTCTAGTTCCAGCCCACCGAGTGGCAGACAATGAATGTTCAAAATAAATATTTATTGAGTTCATGGAAAACAAAGTGGCTTAGGCAAATACATGCAGTAACCTAAGCTGTTAAGAAATGTTTTTTTTTTTTTTAATACTGAACTGAATTACTTTCAAACTAGGCAACTTCTCAGCCAGAGCCCACTCTCTGCCAGAACCTCCAGCCTCTTCAGAAGGGGCAAACGTGGATGATGAGGATTCCCGAGTGGCCTGGATTAGGGGACAAGATGAGTGCTTTCCCTGGACAGCTCAGGTCAGAAAAGAAATCTCCCTCTCCCAGGCATGGTTCACTTCCCCCATGCATGGCTGTGGCCTGTTCCGTCCGATCAGAAAATAAAAGTACAGTCAGGAGGTCTGCAACCTTTGGGTTTGGTTTTGTTTTATTCTTAAAAACTAAACATGTAGAACACAGATAATTTGGTTCTGCATGAGGCTTCCTTTGGCTCCTGCATCTGAGGAATTTAACAAGGGACAAAACAGGGAAATATATACATAGCTATTTGGTATAGAGATTGAAAACAAAGTTTTAATTCAAATGATTATTAGAGTAACCTCTCTGGGCAAGTTGTGATCAGTAACGCTGCCCAGATAATCATATTGTGGGCTTTTTAAAGAATCTGGAGGCAGTGGGGGACTGTAAGACTTTTTTTTGTTTTGTTTTGTTTTTTAAAAATTAGCTTTAAAAGGAAGAGTAGAGTGATGGTAGAGCCAACTTTTAAATATCCTTCTTGGAATGGTTGGATTGGGTTTCAAACCTTAATGTGCTCCCAGGGACAATAATACAGGCTGGAAAATAATTATTTTCCAAGTTCCAGAGCTGCTTTACCCCTCCATCTGTACTGTCCCTGGCCAAGTTAAGTTACCACCCAGGGCACATTGCCCCATTTAATTCTTTTTTTTTCTGCTCCTTCCTTCTTAAGCACTATAAAGGGGGCAGGTCCTTCATTATAAACTCTTGGGGATCATGCCAAGACCACTGCTAACAAAACAGTTTAGAGTTGAGCCCCCAGAAGCTTGAAAAGATGACACACACCACAGTTCAAGTTGAAAAAGATTCCTCAGGTGTAAAATCAGGCAGCAGTATGAAGCGACTCTTTTGTGTATCACTTCTTTCACTCAATGTTATGCTTGTGAGATTCATCCACTTGTTTCCAAGAGGTTGTAGCTCATTCATTTTTCACTGCAGTGCCCTACTCTTCTCACTGAATTTGCCACAATGTATTTATCTATTTCACTGTGGATGATGGTTGCTTAGATTGTTTCACTTGTAGGGCTATTAGCAACAGTGTTGCCATTAAGGTTCTTCTACACATCCTGGTGAATATGGGTACCGTTTGTTCTCCAATATCCTTAACCTCCTGGCCCGGAAGTTCAGAATCCCTTTGGAGTCACGGAGCTCTTGGATAACCTGATGGAAGCTGGGCCCCGTATCCAAAATACACAGACACATACACACAGACAGACAGAGACAGAGAGACAGAGACAAAGAGACAGAGATAGACATACACAGATATAGAGAGGCAAAGGTGTAGACATATACAATATTGCATATCATTTTAGGGAGGTCGCAAGGAGCTTCAAGTGTATGCAGGGATCACCTCAACAACACCAGCTGTACTCTGGCCTGGGAAGGGAATCAGGGAGACCTTTTCAGGGGTGCCTGACAAGCCGTATCTTTGGGGGAAACCAGAGAACAATGAGGTGAGTTTCCCTCAAATCTGCTTCTGAATACTTTTGTTTTTCCTCCTTGGTGCTGGGAGGTTTCCAGCCCCAGAGAGGGAGAAACAAGAGGTCAGTTTCCCCAGCATAACTCCAAACCCCATGGCACTCCTGCAAAGCCTGGTCTGCTCTGTGTGGATGTCTGTGTTTGCACCAAGGGTGAGGGTAAGGCTGGAGCCAAGAATAACCCATAATTCTGCACACAGCAGATTGAGTTTCTTGCAGAATTTGCTCCCAGAGGAAAAGGTAATGGCAGGAGCTGAGCATGGCTAAGGCCTCAGAGAGTGGATACACTGTATGTGTTGGAAAGCACCCACGGCAAAATTTGCAGACAGTGACGGGCTCTGGGGGCATGCACATGGGTCCAGCCATGTTGGGCAGTGCCACTCTTAGTCCTGGTTAACAGGGTCCCTGTGCTCTAAAGGATTCTGCCCTGACTCTCTTCTGACTGTGCCCCTCCCCTAAAGGCAGAAGAGTTGGCAGGAGCCACTTCGCCCCATCATTGGTACTCACATGTTCAGGGCACACAGAAACTGAGATTTCTGTCACCTTACTGCAGCTTGGCCACACGGGATCACCCGGCTGTGGGTGATGCACCCTCTAGTCCCAGGATGCTGCAATTCCCACCTGTGTCTCTCTCTGCATTGCTCTGTGTGTCTCTTGTCTATTGCTCTCCCGCTGCTTCTATCCGTGTCTGTTTCAATATCTCACTGTGCTTTGTTTTCCTGTATGCATCTCTTCCTCAAGCTGTCTCTTTCCTTGACGCTCCTCTCTCTCTTTTTATCTCTCTGTACATCTCTCTCTGATGTTCCCTCCATCTTTCCTCAGCCCACAAGCCTCTCTGTGCCTTCCCCCCCATAACTGGCCACTGGGGACAGCTGCCGGCAGTGACCTCAGAGCCCTTTCGTGCCCACTTTGCCTTCCTCCCTCTGCAGCGCCAGCCCTGAACCACTGCTGGAAAGGGAGCTGCAGAATGAGCTCAGCTCTCTTTGGAGAGACCTGCACCCACTTTCTCGCTCCAAGCGCCAGGGCTCCTTGCCATCAGAGGGGCTTCAAAACAGCCTCTTAATAATGAGAACTAGGTTTCCCATGAATCCTAAAAAATGTATTTCGATCCTCTTAGCACCAGGGCAGGAAAAAGACTGGAAGCTCTCTGAAATCAATCGAATCTGCATCTCCCGGGCTTCCTGAACAGGCAGCTCCCTGCACCAGTCGGGACTCTTCCCAGGTTGATGCCTTATCTCAAAGGGAAGGACAGGGAGATAGTTTTGAACTCATCCCCCTTCCCCAGCTCTCCGCTGCAGGAGCCTCAGGTCCTGGAGTCCAGAAGGAAAAGGACTGGGGGACAGCGCCCCGAGTGTGACGAGGTGCTCTCGCTGGAACCCGGGGCAGGCGGAGCTTCAGGAGCACCCAGGATTTCCTGCTCCGAGTCCGGGGTCGCATCGGAGACCCCCAGCTAATCAGCGTCGCCTGCCGGATCTTGCCTTCTCCAGAAGGTGAAGAAGGCATAAATTTTGAAATTCCCCTCGCCCTCCCCTCCCCGCCAAAATGGGTTTAGATTACTCCAGGCAAAACTGTCTCTTCAAAAATTAAAATTGGGAACGGTTCCATTCCAACTCAAATGGCTGAGCAGAGAATATTGCAAAAACTTTCCCAAGTTGCGCAAAAAACGGTTTCACTCCCGGCTCCCGCCAAGCATGTACCTAAAGGGCATTTTTCCAGGCAGACGGTCCATAGCTCCCATTAGATTTTCAAAGAGCTACGAGGAGCCCACCACCGCCACCACCAAAAGGGTGAAAAGGTTAAGGACCCTTACAAAGGTACGCAGCGCCGCGATTACACTTCGAAAGAAAACCTCTGCCTGCCTCCCCGCCTTATTATTATTTTTTTAATCTCCCTCCCCTTCCTCCTCCTCCTCCTCACCCCACCCCTTTTTTCTTTCGTAGCTTTTCTTTGACATTTCAAAGCCTCTCTCCTGGTTTCGATTTGAAGCTCCCGGATAAAATCGATCAATTTCAAAAAAAAAAAAAAAAAAAAATTAGGCAAGGATTCCGGTTCTGGAATTCGAAGTTCTCCCCCTTCCGTGAGGGCGGAGCTGGAGCCAGAGGCAGGCGGGCATCAAAATTTCGCTTGGGCAGGCACCTCACTCCCCCACTACTTCCCTCTTCCCCAGACATTTTTCCCCCCAAAAAAAGAGCGGGATCAAAGAAAAATGTTTAACGTTTTCGGCAAGCGAGCACCAGGCGCCCTGCGCACTTAAGGTCGGGGAGGCGGGATGTTGAACTTGCCCCGCCCATTTGGCGGAGGGTGGACCCCACATCTGTTTACTACCTGAATCTGCGACCTCAGGTATTCCAGGAAGCCGGTCCGGCGACCCTAAAAGACTGCGAGGTGGCCAAAGTCATAAACTGGAAGACAGAAAGCGACTCTTGGATCTGAGACCTAATTCTTGTTTTATTGATTAAGGAGGACGGGCTAGATGGAGTTAGAAACAAGATGAAAAATTGAAAAGTCCCGCACGAGTTCTCTTCCGCTGGCCTTCGCCTTCCCAACAGCTTCTGTGCTTCTCACCCCAGCTCACCTCTGTGGGGAAGGGGACGCCCAGGGAGGGGAGGTGGAAATTTGTGAATGTGGCCCTTACAGGAAATTCAAAAGGAATAAGGCTAAGGGAGCAGAATTAAATCTCATTTTATTTAGTAACATCGTGGGCTGCAGGTAAGAGGGCGCTATCCTGGTTATTGATTTTTTCTTAATGTAAAATTTTTACGTTTTGTTCATCGTGGGATTCTTTTTGTATTCATTTTTGGCGTTTTAAATATACTGCATTAAAATATTATTTGTCTTGATTACCGAGATATTTTCACCATCTTATTGGCCCATGCAAAGCCTCATTCTGGTCCCTGCCCTCTTAGCCAGGGCACCTGAAAGGGGCCCTCAAAGTCCAAGTCTTGGCTGGGAAACATTTGGGGGTTTGGGTATCACTGAGAGGAACACGCATTTAGGAAATGAAGAGAAGGAGACAGAGGAGATTTTAAGGGCGCTGAGCTTGTTTTCTGATTGGAATCCCCGGGTCAGATCAAGGCAAGAGAGAAATCTTATTTTCCTCCCCTAAAATGTGACTCCGTTCACTGTGACATTTCTGGCTGTGATTGAGAGCAGGGAGGCTCGGCCATCTGACGTGAGGTCAGGGGCCTGGATTTTGTTCCTGGGAGCCCAAATCAAACTTACTGTGTGGCCTGGGACAAGCTGTGCTGTGCTGAGACTGTAGCCTCCTTAGCAGATTTTTTTTTTTTTTAATGGAAAAGACCAGCCAGAGACATCCAGAATATGTTAAATAAATCAGTTTTCCAAAATTCTTCTTGGTTTAAGAGTAGGTTTCCCCTACAAAGCCTCTATTTGATTAAAAGGCTTGTAATAATGGTTAAGCTTTAGTGAGTGTTTGCCCCAAGTCAGACACTTTGCCAGTCGTTTTTAAAGCATTATCTCTTTTAATCTTCACAACAGACCCAGGAGGTAGGAAGTATCTTTCATTCCTATTTTACAAATGAAGAAACTGAGGCCAAGAGAGGGGAAGTAATTTGTATACAGCGGCTGAATGGTGGACTTCAGAGATCAGGCAAGTTTCCTCCAAAGATCCCCTTCTTGCACAATACATGTCTGTGAAATTTTCACTGCATTTGCATTTAAGAACATTTGAGGACAATGGAAGTGTGAATGGATTTGGAGAGGGAATGCCACCTGCTCTAGAAGAAGCCGCCTTGGGATCTGCATTTCTGTACCTCGAATTGCCCTTCAGAGCAGCTTCTTCCTTGCCCGGCTCATATCCCCCAGAATGAACTAACTACACTGCCATCCAAAAACAGCTGTTTTTTAGCCAGTAACAACCCAGGCATGTACTCTGTGTACCAGAGCGTTTTCAATAAGCCACAGATCCTTAGGCTGAGAAAGAAGCCACTGGAGGTTCAGAGCCAGGCACGGGGGATGAGGCAGACAGAAAACATAAGACGAGAAACTGGGAAACAGGGAATGTCCTGATGCTGCCTAAAATTCCAGGAAAAAAAAGACACACAGTGGTTAGAGGAATGGGTGCTGCAGCCTGAGAACCGTGGAGAGGAAACGATGCTGGTTGGTTCCCCATTCATAGCCTTTGGTATCTCTAGGGTATTTGTTTTTGGAGAAGAAACATCTGTGAGGGTAAAACACTTCCTGAGTGAAGCAACTGTGTACCACAGAAGTTGGGATCCATCTAATTTTCTGTGATGCCTTCAATGCAGAAGTAAACATGATTAGACTTTTAGTTTTTCATACAAATACTTTTTTTGTTTGTTTGTTTGTTTGTTTTTTGTTTTGTTTTGTTTTGTTTTTGAGACAGAGTCTCGCTCTGTCGCCCAGGCTGGAGTGCAGTGTTGTGATCTCAGCTCACTGCAACCTTTGCCTCCTGAGATCAAGTGATTCTCCTGTCTCAGCCTTTTGAGTAGCTAGGATTATAGGCATGCACCACCATGCCCTGCTAATTTTTGTATTTTTTAGTAAAGATGGAGTTTCACCATGTTGGCTAGAATGGTCTCAAACTCCTGACCTCAAGTGATCCACCCACCTTGGCTTCCCAAAGTGCTGGGATTACAGGCATGAACCACTGTGCCCGTCTACAAATACATTTTTAAATGTATTTATAAAGGTCTTTCAGATTTGGGGTTCAAACAGAAAGGTCATCAGAGATCAGATTGGCAGCTGGAAATGGATGACCTATTAAAAATCTGAATTATCGTTCCCTGTTGTTAATGATTATAACTTTAATTCAGAGAGTGCTTTAAACACATTTCTCCTTTTGTCTTCAGGCCATAGCTCTGTGTGATAGATAGATTAACAAGTCATTCCTTTTCACCTGTGAAGAAACTAAACCCAGCAAGGTTAAGTTGCTCACCCAAAGTCACACAGCAGTAAACAGAAAAAATAGGATTCAAACCAAGTTTTTGTGGAACCCTAGACCCATGTCCTTATCCCACCCCAGGGCCAGGGGCTAAGCTCATGGAACAAACTCCACATTTTGCAAGGCAGTCCAGGGAGTGTCAGAGATTCAGTGTATCAAAGAAATGCCAGATGTGATTTCTGAAGGCAGCCCCAGAAAGTTCTCTCAATCCTTTCTTCTGGCTGGGAGGCAAGAAAGGAGCTGAGAATTGCTGTCCAGGATAGCCACAGTGCTCAAAAACATGGGGCAAGGGACATACGTGTTGAGAAATAGACTGCCACTGACTGAGCAATACGATCCCCAAGTGAGATTTCTCAGTGACTGTCACTTGTCTCAAAGAGACAGCATTATCCAATCTCTTTGAGCCAGAGCTTAAAAGAGTAGTCAGCATTTGCTGAGAAACTGTGTGTGATTTTTTTTTTTTTTTTACCAAAGTGCTAAATCATTTCTCTTTCTAATACTCCAGTGAGGAATTCTCTTTCTAATACTCCAGTGAGGAATTGTCTGGGCAACCATGCACAGTTGTGCAGGTCATGCACTGTACAAAAGGGATGTCATTCACATCCTTCTATCCTTGCCTTTGCACATTTATATATATAGCTGCCCCTCAGTATCCATGGGGTACTGGTTCCAGGACTCCTTGCAGATAACGAAATCTGAGGATTCTTCCCTGATATAAAATGGCATTGTGTTTTCATATAGCCTACACATTGTTTTTAATGCTTTAAATTACCTCTAGAATACTTATAATACCTAATACAATGTAAATGCTATGTAAATAGTTGATATACCATATTGTTTAGGAAATAATGACAGGAAGAAGAGCCTGTATGTGTTCAGTACAGGCACTTTTTATATTGTTGTTTTGAGTATTTTCCATCTGCAGTTGGTTGAATCCCTGGATTCAGAACCCGCAGACAGGGGGCTGACTGTATTTAATACAACCATTTTCCAGAAGATGGCAGTAAGGTGTCTTGTTTTAATGACAGCATATTATGACAAAATTCCAATGTGGAAGTAAGGTGACTTGAGGGAAGGGTGCCTTCTTCTAATTGCATAAAGACACAGTATGGGTAGTGACCCTGGCTATGATCATTTTCACATTCACAGCTGGGCACACTGAAAAGTGGAGTGCCTGACTTACGTTCACAGAACTGGTTAGAAGGTAAGTCAGCCGTCAAACAAGCCCATAGTCTGGGCTTCCACCCACTATACTGGAGCTCCTAGGAGGTTGAGAAACAATTTGGAATCACCCAAATCTGGGTTTAACCTCTTCCTCTCCTGTTTAAAGCTGTTGTAAAAAGTGATTCATACCCTCTGAGCCTTGGTCTCTGCCTCTGTAAAATGGGTAAAATAATAGTTCCTCCCACAAGCCTAAAATTTATATGGAACCACAAAGACCTTGAATAGGCAAAGCAATCCTAAGTAAAAGAAGCAAAACTGGAGGCATCATACTACCTGACTTTAAAATATACTACGAAGCTATAGTAACCAAATCAGCATGGTAGTGACATAAAAACAGACACATAGACTAACGGAACAAGATAGAGAACGCAGATATGAATCCACACATTTATAGCCAACTCGTTGTCAACAAAGCTGCTAATTACATACAATGGGGCAAGGATAGCCTCTTCAATAAATGGTGCCGGAAAACCTGGATAAACATATGTAAAAAGAAGAAACTAGAGCCCTATCTCTCACCATATACAAACATCAAATCAAAATGGATTAACAACTTAAACATAAGGCCTGAGACTTTTAAACTACTAGGAGAAAACATTGGGGAAATGCTCCAGGACATTGGTCTGGGCAAAGATTTTTTTTGTGCAAGACCTCAAAAGCACAGGCAACCAAGGCAAAAATAGACAAATGGGATTACATCAAGCTGAAAGGCATCTGCATAGCAAGGTAAAGAATAAACAAACTGAAGAGACACTCCACAGAATGGGAGAAAATATTTGCAACCTATATTTGACACGGAATTAATCACCAGAGTATCCTGCAGGAGCTGGATTTAAAATAAAAATAACCAGAATACATAGAAGTTCAAACAACTCAATAGAAAAAGGGAAAGGAAGGGAGGGAGGGAGGGAGGAAAGCAGGAAGGAAGGAAGGAAGGAAGGAAGGAAGGAAGGAAGGAAGGAGAGAAAAAGAAAAAAACAGGTATATGAAAAACTATTCAGTAACTCTAATCATCAGAGAAATGCCAGTCAAAACCACAATGAGATATCATCTCACTCCAGATAAAATGGCTTTTATCAAAAAGACAAGGAAGAACAGATGTTAAGGAGAAAAGTGAACCCTTATGCACTGTTGGTGGGAATGTAAATTAGTACAGCCACTACGGAAAGCAGTAATAGAGGCTATTCAGTAAACTAAAAATAGGCCAGGCATGGCAGCTCATGCCTATAATTCCAGCACTTTGGGAGGCCGAGGTGGGTGGATCACCTGAGGTCAGGAGTTCAAGACCAGCCTGGCCAACATGGCGAATCCCCATCTCTATTGAAAATACAAAAATTAACCAGATATGGGCCGAGTGCGGTGGCTCATGCCTGTAATCCGAGCACTTTGGGAGGCCGAGGCGGGTGGATCACGAGGTCAGGAGATCGAGACCATCCTGGCTAACACAGTGAAACCCCGTCTCTACTAAAAATATAAAAAATTAGCCGGGCATGGTGGCGGGCACCTGTAGTCCCAGCTACTTAGGAGGCTGAGGCAGGAGAATGGCATGAACCAGGGAGGCAGAGGTTGCAGTGAGCCAAGATCGTGCCACTGCACTCCAGCCTGGGTGACAGAGTGAGACTCCATCTCAAAAAAAAAAAAAAAAAAAAAAATTAGCCGGATATGGTGGCATTTGCCTGTAATCCCAGTTACTCGGGAGGCTGAGGCAGGAGAATCACTTGAACCTAAGAGGCGGAGGTTGCAGTGAGCCGAGATCATGCTGCTGCACTCCAGCCTGGGCGACAGAGTGAGACTCTGTCTCAAAACAAACAAACAAAAACAAACAAACAAACAAAACCCATAAAAATAGAATTACCATATGATCCAGCAATTCTACTTCTAGGCATATCTCCAAAAGAAAGGAAATCAATATACTGAAGAGGCATCTGCGCTCCCATGTTTATTGCAGCACTGTCCACAATAGCCAAAACATGGAAGCAACCCAAGTGTCCGTCAGTGAATAAACGGATAAAGAAAATGTGAGCTATAGTTATATAGATCTCACATTGGAATATATATATACACACACACACACAATGGAATATTATTCAGACATAAAAAAGAATGAAATTCTGTCATTTGCAGCAACATGGATGGACTGGAAGTCAATATGTGTAGTGAAATAAGCCACGCACAGAAGGACACATGTGCCACATGTTCTCACTCACGTGTGGGAGCTAAAAAAGTGGATGTCATAAAGATAGAAAGTAGATTTGTGGTTACCAGAGGCTGGGAAGGGTGATGGGAAGAAAAGATAAAGAGAGGTTGATTAATGATAAAAATATACAATTTGATAGGAGAAATAAGATGTAGTGTTTGATAGATCAGTAGGATGACTATAGATCACAATAATTTACTGTATATTTCAAAATAGCTAGAGGAGAATAATTTGAGTGTTCATAGCATAAAGAAAAGATGAATGCTTAAGGTGATGGATAATCCAGTTACACTGATTTGAGCTTTACAAGTTATATGAATGCATTAAATTATCACATGTATCCTGAAAATATGTATATCATCTATTATGTATCAATTTATAAAACTTTAAAAATAGTCCCGACTGCAGGAAAAAAGAGATAATGTAAGCAAAGTGTTTCATTCAACACCTGGCATGTAAACATTGACTAGCGTTACGATGAATTGTGTCTGATTTGTACATGGTTGAATCTTTTTCTTTCATGTGTCTTGAATGGAAGGATTCCAGACCAAACCCTACCTCCCAGCACACAGGATTGAGAATGTTAACAGGCTTTCTAGTCATCATGGTTCCTGGAAGGGTCTCTTGTTTGGGGACATTCTGTCATGTCTATTTTCAGTCCTATTTTTCTTCAGTTTGCAGCTGGATATGGAGGAATTATTGGGAGGGGGGAACTAGATGATTTGTCCAGCTGTGGCTGCCCTGAGTTCTCTGAGAGACAGAGAGAGAAAGGGGGAAAGAAAGACAAAGAGAAGGTGGTAGAGGGAGTTTGTCAACCCGGCAATATTCATGAAGCCCTAAATTTCGCAAATGATGACTTTAATAATTCAAACCCAGCAAATGTCTGGGAAAGCCAAAGTACCACCTCATTCAGCACCTTAGTGACATTCAGAACTAAGAAACCTGTCCTCTCATTTCAGCCTGATGATGTCACCAGATGCAGATGATGGAATTTCCACAACCTCCCCCACAACAACAAAATTAAGTTATTAAGACCGCTGGGGAACTTACAATTCTTAACATTTATTATATAATTGTTATGATTATTACCACTCTAATTTATTTCCCTACTTAAAAATGTTCTGGCGACTGTAACTCATTTTAGGCTGATCCTCGCAAACCGGGAGACCTTGGATTATTTAGAGAGAGAGAGAGCGTTTAGCCAGGTGCGCGAGTCTCAAATTTCCTCAAAATTGCTGCAGGGCCTCACTCAATATAGAAATAAGCAAAAAACAGTGTGTGCATTATATCAATATTATGATAATGTGCACTGAATGCGGATCATAAGTGATTAATTCGGTCATTTTCCAAGTTTATCCCTGGGGGTTTAGATCCTAAAGAGCCCATGAATGAACACAAGCACCCACATAATCCCATCTTCCTAGGGCTCTGTGGAAAAACACTTTAATGCAAAATGAGGAATGAGAAATTAGGTATATATAGTAGGAAAAGCAGCTTTTTAATTGTAGGCTTCGTCTTGTCTCTAACCTGTGGGCAAAGCGGGGGGACTCAGGAGGTAGAAAGGAAATAAAAGTGGCTGAATCATATCATTATGTGGTATTTCACCAGTATGTTAATATTATAGAAATGAAAAGCTCTTCTATGGAGAAGTTTGCATCTGAGGTTAAACTGAGTATTTGATCTGAAGGGCCTGTGAGTAGGAAAAGAAATTGGACTCCTACATGGACAGTTAAAATGCCAGTGGATTTATATTAATTGAGCCATTGAATGTTTTATGTTCAGTAAATGTGCTACCCTGTTATAATGATGATATTAATATTAAGAAGAGTTTATTGAGTATTTAATATGCTCCATTGTGCTAAAACAGTGATTCTCAGTGGGGAAGGTGATCCTGTTCCTCCTTCCCTCCCCCAGGGGACATTTGACAATGTCTGGAGACATCTTAGGCTGTCACAGCTGGCGGGGGTGCTGCTGGCATCCCATCAATGAAGGTCAGGGATGCTGCTACGTATCCTTCAATGTACAGGACAGTCCACACATCACAGAGTATCCAGCCCCAAATGTCCATGTGCCAACAGGGAGAAACCCAGTGCTAAGGCTTTGCATGCATCAACTCATTTAATATTTGCAACAATTTTTCAAACTAGATATTACTAGTTCCCCCATTTTACAGATGAGGTAATGAGGCTTGGAGAAGTTAAAAGGACTGTCCAAGGTCATTCAAGGACTATTGGAGGCATTGAGAAAAAGACTCCCCTCTTGTCTCTGTTCACAGCTGGAAACAAGGCAGAGAAATGCTCCCAGATAATCCATGAGGCTCCCATCTCATGCTCCCATGCAAGCTCAGGTGTGTGGCCCATGGAAGGTTCTACCTCCAGCCACCTACCAAATCACCTCTGTGTAGACAGAATGTACCCCAAGCCTGATAGACAGGTATGCAATACTATCTGCCCTGAGCAAATTCTGAAAGAATATAAACCAATCTATCAATGTTTATCTCTAGGGTCAGATTTGGGAGACTTTATTTTTCACCTTATTCATACATTGAGCATGTAACAATTTCATGATCAGAACAAAACAGTGATTTTAAAAATATGTAGAAAGCTTATGTAGTAATGAGGGAAATAATTGCGGCAAGGGAAACAAAATAAATAGGTGCATCTTCTGTGGCTACTCTCGGTTTTACAAGAATGTAAACCATAGTGTCAGGATGTCCACCTTGATGGAGGAAACCTGGAAGCTGGGAGCCCTCACTTTCTTACAAGGTAGGAAATGAATGCTTTCTTTCTTCTGTATACCTTGTCTATTAAATTGACTTACTGTATACTAATATATATTTTTACTATTTTTCATAAATTATGTTTACAATAATAATACAAAGTACCTCTGGACTCATTTTATTTTATTTATTTATTTTGAGGCAGAGTCTCCCTCTGTCACCTAGGCTAGATTGGAATGGCATGATCTCAGTTCACTGCAACCTCTGTCTCCTGGGTTCAAGCAATTCTCGTGCCTCAGCCTCCCGAGTAGCTGGGATTACAGGTGTGTGCCACCACATCCGACTATTTTTTGTATTTTTAGTAGAGACAGGTTTCATCATGTTGGCCAGGCTGGTCTCTAATTCCTGACCTCACATGATCCGCCCACCTCAGCCTCCCAAAGTGCTGGGATTACAGACGTGAGACACCGTGCCTGGCCCAACCTCTGGATTAATTTTAAAAACTTATTTATTTATTTATTTAGAGGCAAGGTCTTGCTCTGTCACCCAGGCTGGAATGTACTGGCATGATCATAGCTCACTGCAGCTCAAACTCCTAGGCTCAAGAGATCCTCCCAACTCAGCCTCCCAAGAATTTTGGACTACAGTTGTGAGCCACTGTGCCCAGGTTAATTGTTTTTTTTTTTTTTATGCAAAAGAATGTAAACATGTAATGTATATTTTTCTGAGACATCTTTCCATAGTTTTCTATAGATTCTCAAAGAGGTACAGGGGAGTCCAGAAATAATAATTGCAACTAACATGCATTAAACGCTTAGTTTCAAGAATTATGCTAAGCATTCCACATGCATCATCTCACTATCCCAATAACCCTATGAGGTCAATAATATTTTTAACCTTATTTTACAGATAAAAGAGAAACTCAGAGAGGTTAAGACACTTGTCTAAAGACCCACAGCAACAATGCTCAGAATTTGAACCCAGATGCATCTAGCTTTTAACAGAGCTTTAATCGTCCACCACATAAAAAAGTTAAGCAGCACAGGATTCAGTTATTCTTTAGGGACCTTCTAAGTGTGCCATTTTATTATTTTCCAAGAGAGTTTCAGGGACATGTGAAACAGAACCTTACGCATCTAACAAGAATTCTTCCACCTAAGAGCTAGGGGACAGCAGGTACGTGCACGGTGAGAAAAAGACTCACCTCTAGTCTCTGTTCACTGCTCAAAACAAGGCAGAGAAATACTCCCAGATAATCCATGAGGCACCCATCTGGGGATGGGGGTGGGAGAAGGTGACTTTCATTAAGTTAGAAGGGGGTGAAAGTGAGAACTTGAAGAGTACATGGTGGAGACAAGCATTTGGAATGGTCACAGTGGTTTTAAAGCTGTGTTAAAAACATTAACAAAACTGAAGGCAGGCTGGGAGTGTGGACCCGTCAATCAAGGCAGGGATTGCAAATAGTGTGTTCCCCTTTGACGAGACTCCTAATTAACCACAAGCCATCACGTCCTACATTTGAGATGTGTCTTTCCTTATGGCTCATTGGAGGGTGGAAGAGTGTGTTAAATATGTCCATGTGGTGAGAGTAGATGGTGAAGAAACCTACAGTGGGTTATTACCTGGAAAACAGTGGCCGGCTTTGGTTGTCCAAGGTGAGGGTGAAAGAAATAAGGCAACTTGGATTAGCTACAGTGCCAGGAGCAGGGTAAGGAGAATGAGGCACTCTACTTCTAACACAGAATTTAAGGGAGCACTGAAAACCTCAGTAATCAAGATAAATAGTATTTTAATGGAATTTTTTTATTTTTTTATTTTTATTTTTTTGAGACAGGGTCTTGCTCTGTCACTCAGGCTGGAGTGCAGTGATATGATCATGGGTCACTGCAACTTCTACCACACGGGCTCAAGCAATTATCCCACCTCACCTTCCTGGATAGCTGGGACTAGGGGTGTGAGCCACCATGCCTGGCTAATGTTTTGTGTTTTTAGTAGAGATAGGGTTTTATCATGTTGCCTAGGCTAATCTCAAACTCCTGGGCTCAAGCGATCTCACCTAGGCCACCTGGGATTACAGGTGTGAGCCATTGAAACTGGCTTAACATTTTTAAAAATACAAAATTAATGCACAATAATCTGTGATTTTAAATATCATTTATATTTTAAATGTTAAATGAAAACAAGATCTTATATGTCCAGGTAGGGTGAATAAGATGAAGTAAGGCAGGACCAGACCCTGGTTTTATTTAAAATTATTGCTGAACAATTTTAAAAGAAATCCCAGCCATTGTGTTATTTCACCCCTACAGCAGGTTAGTGGGCATCTCTAAATAACATAAGCAGCCTTTTGCATAACCTCAATGCAATATCGCATGAACCACCTTGACTTATTATCATCTAATGTTGAGTTTAGAATCAAATTCTCCTGATGGTCTAAGAGAGTCTTTCATGATTGATTTGTTCTAACTGGGGCCTGAAGTTCACACAGTCACATTTGGTTGAGATACCCCTTAGTTATCTTTCATCTAGAGCAACCCTCCTTTTCTTTACACCATTGCCTTGTTGCAGAAACAAGTCATAGATAATGCTGTGTATTCTGAATTTGTTTGCTTCTTCTGATGCCATTACGTTTTATTTATTTTCTCTATTGATTTCCTGTTTTCAGTTTCACTGATTTCTCTACTTCTTTTTCTCAATAGAGGCAGCATCTTGCTATGTTGTTCAGACTGGTCTTGAACTCCTGGCCTCAAGCAATCCTCCTGTCTCAGCCTCTTAACGTGCTGGGATTACAGGCATGAGCCACCATCCAACCAGCCTATCCTTCACTTTTTATTATTTCTCTTCTTCTGCTTAATTTGAACATGTTTTCTATTCTTTTCCTAGTTTCTTAAGCTTCCACCTTAGATCATTCATTTTAGATCTTTCTTCTTTCATATCTGCATTCAATGCTACAAATTCCCCCTTAAGCACGGTTTTGCTGCATCCCACAAATTTTGATAAGCTGTATTTCTATTTTCATTTAGTTGAAATATTTTAAGTGTCTCTTAAAATTTCTTCTTTGATCCATGTATGATTTAGAAGCATGTTGTTTAATCTCTAAGTATTTTGGAATTTTCCAGATATCTTTCTGTTATTGATTTCCATTTTAATTATCTTGTGGTCTGAGAGCATATAGTCTATGGTTCTTATTCTTTTAAATGTATTAAGATGTGTTTATTGCCCAGAATGTGATCTAGCTTGGTGAATGCTCCAGGTGACCTTGAGAAAAAATGAGTATTCTGTTATTGTTGGGTGAAGTGGTCCATAGATATCAATTGCATCCAGTTGATTGATGGTGTTGTTAAGTTCAACATGGCCTTACTAATTTTCTGCCTGCTGGATCTGTTCATTACTGAGAGAAAGCCTATATATATATATATATATATATATATATATATATATATATATATATATATATTTTTTTTTTTAAATTAGCCTGTGTGGGTTTAGAGATTACTAGGTTTTACCAATATGTGATTGGGCAGGAACTAGCCATTTTATTAGAGTAATTCTAAATGTCTTTTCAATTTTTTTTTTTTATTTTGAGATCAAGTCTCACTCCGTCACCCAGGTGGAGTCCTAGCTACTTGGGAGGCTGGGGTGGGAGGATCACTTGAGCCTGGGAGGTCGACGCTGTAGTGAGCAGTGATCGCACCATGGCACTCCAGAGCTGGGCAACAGAGTGAGACTGTGTCTCAAACAACAACAACCACAAAAATACGTATACATTTTGGAATGGTTAAATCAAGCTAATTAACACATACGTTACATCGTAGACTTATCATTTGTTTGTGGTGAGAACACAGAGAGTCTACTCTCTTAGCAGTTTCCAAGAGTACAATGCATTGTTATTAACTGTAATCATCATGTTACACATTAGATCTTGAAGATTTTCCTCCTATCTACCTGATATTTTGTATCCTTTGACCAACATCTTCCATGCAGGCCCTAGAGTCTCTGTTTCTTAAAGTAGAATACAATTTATGATTTTTAAGTTTTTCTCATGGGCTTTTTAAAAATTATCATTCTTAGACAAAATTTATTTTTTCAATAATTTTACTTTAAAAATTATCAAAATAAAAATGCAATTGAGATAGCACAGTTAGGAAAATAGAAACATAAATTAACAGCTTTTATTTATAAAGCAATAAATCTACAAGAAAAATACAAACATTTAAACATAATATGAATAGATATATGCATTTGCAATATTTAAACACTCCATATTCTTCCATTACCACTCTGCTTCTAAAATTCTATTCTTAAGAAATAATCATGGCTGTGTCCAAACGTTTCCCTGTGCTCTGTCACCCAGGCTAGAGTGCAGTGGTGCGATCTCGGCTCACTGCAACCTCTGCCTCCCAGGTTCAAGCGATTCTCATGCCTCAGCCTCCTGAGTAGCTGGGATTACAGGTGCCCACCACCATGCCTGGCTAATTTTTGTATTTTTAGTAGAGATGGGGTTTCACCATATTGGCCTGACTGGTCTCGAACTCCTGACCTCAAGTGACCTGCCCACCTTGGTCTCCCAAAGTGCTGAGATTACAGGCATGAGCCCCCAATCCCAGACACATGGGCTATTTTTAAAATACTTAACCACAGATACAGCAGAGACATTAATGAATCCAAAAAGATTCTGGCCATAATAACACACACAATAGAATTGGTGGATGCCAGTTGAATACTCAGTCCTGGTTTTCCCCCCTCTTCTATTCGGTTCTTTAGAATCCTCAAATTGCATCTGAGGTTCCTGCTTACATATGTGAAGCACCTGGAACATTTTCAAATGATTTTTAGTTTTTCCACTCTCCTACTAAGGCAAGCAGAGATTGGTGAGTTATCTCCACATCATTTCTACTCTGTACAGATGCCACATCCACTTTATTGAATCAGCCTCGGACGCTGTACACTCAGGAAAGCTGGCTTTAGTTCTCATTAAACAAAGCCTGAGGAGCTTGTCCAAGCCTCCTCTCTCCCCAGTCCTCTGTGAGCTGAATATACGTGAGCTTCTGTTTATGGAGAAAGATTAAATATAACAGAAGAGAAGAGGAGACTTTGGTAGGTTTTAAGACTTCAATTTCAAACCAATTGGGAGCAGGTGGTGAGACACACCAACTTCAAAGAGAATGTTGCCTCCAACCTGATGAAGAGCAAGGTGTGTGGAGGGGAGGCACCTGGGGTCCTGATGTGCTGTGGAGGACCCTAGATTCTGGGAAGCCCCAAGATGATGATGGTAATACATTGTGCTGCTCTGAGACCTTGCATCTAGTGATCTCTGGAGCAGCCCACATTGAAAATCTGTTGTTCAGTGTAGCCACTTTTATCACTGATCTTAGCTAGATCTTCTGAATAACTTATTGCAGCTTCTCCATCAGCACTTGCTGCTTCACCTAGCATTTTTACATTATAGAGATGGCTTCTTTTCTTAAACCTCATGAACCAAGATCTGCCAGCTGCCAACTTTTTTTCTGCGGCTTTCTCACCTCTCTCAACCTTCACAGAATCATAGTTAGGGCTTGGCTCTGGATTAGGCTTTGGCTGAAGGGAATGTTGCAGCTGGTTTGGCCTTCTATCCAGACCACTCAAAATTCCTCCATATCAGGAATAAGCCTATTTCACTTTCTTATCGTTCATTTGTTCACTGGAGTAGCACTTTAAATTTCCTTCAAGAAATTTTCCTTTGCATTCACAATGTGGCTAACTTTGGCGCAAGAGGCCTAGCTTTCTGCCCATCTCTGCTTTTCACATGCCTTCCTCATTAAGCTTAATCATTTCTAGCCTTTGATTTAAAGCAAGAAACATGTGATTCTCCTTTTCATTTGTACACTTAGGGGGCTTTGTAGGGTTATTAATTGGCCTAATTTCAATATTGTTTTGTCTCAGTTGTGTCTACAGCTCCCACAGATAGTGATTTCTCTGATGGATTTAGGCTGTTATGGAAAGGATTCACTATTCTAGATACCATTAAGAACATTCATGATTTATAGGAGAAAGTTAAAATGTAAACATTAATAGGACTTTGGAAGAAATGGATTTCAACTCTTTTGGATGACTTTGAGAGATTCAAGATTTCAGAGGAGGCAGTCACTGCACATGTGGTGGAAACAGCAAGAGAAACAGCGTTAGAAGTGGAGCCTGAGGATGAGGCTGAATTGCTGTAATCTCATGATAAAACATGAATGGAGGAGGAGTTGCTTCTTATGAATGAGCAAAGAAAGTGGTTTCTTGAGATGGAATATACTCCTGGGGAAGATGCAGTGAGCATTGCTGAAATGACAACAAAGGATTTAGAATATTACATAAATTTAGTTGATAAATTACAACAGGATTTCAGTGGACTGATTCCAATTTTGAAAGTTCTGCTATGGGTAAAATGCTTGCAACACCATACTACAGAAAAATCTTTTGTGAAAAAAGAGAGTCGGCCGGGCGCGGTGGCTCACGCCTGTAATCCCAGCACTTTGGGAGGCTGAGGTGGGCTGATCACAAGGTCAGGAGATCAAGACCCATCCTGGCTAACACGGTGAAACCCCGTCTCTACTAAAAATACAAAAAAAAAAAAAAAAGAATTAGCCAGGCATGGGGGAAGGCGCCTGTAGTCCCAGCTACTCAGGAGGCTGAGGCAGGAGAATGGCATGCTTGCAGTGAGCCAAGATCGCACCACTGCACTCCAGCCTGGGCGACAGAGCGAGACTCTGTCTAAAAAAAAAAAAAAAAAAAAAAAAAAAAACCCAATGAAGTAATCTTTATTATTGTCTTATTTTAAAAAATTGTCACCCCAACCTTCAGCACTGCCACCCTGATTAGCCAGCAGCCATCAATATCAAGGCAGGACCCTCCACCAGCAAAAAGATTACAACCTGCCGAAGGTTCAGGCGATTGTTAACATTTTTTAGCAATAGAATATTTTTAATTAGGGTATGCACCTTGGTTTTTGTAGACATAATGCTATTGCACACTTAATAGACTATATTATAGTATAAACATAACTTTTATATGCACTGAGAAACCAAAAAAATTATTTGACTCAATTTATTGCAGTGATCTGGAACCGAACCTGCAATATCTCTGAGGTATGCCTGTAGTTAGAAAGTCTTTGGCTCAAGTAACAAAAAGCCCAGATTCAACCTGGTGCTAACAGTGAAGACAAGATTTCACTCAACAAGAGGTCTAAGGTAAGGTAGGTTTCAAGGCTGGTTGATTCAGTAGTGCCACCGTGCCACCAAGAACTCAGGTTTTTTTCCATTTCTTTTGCTTTGCTACCCTCAACATGTGGACCTTGCCTTCAACTGGATTTCCTTTTCTCAAACTGGCTGCATCTAGACCTGACACATCCAGAAGAATCAAGTGGAGGGTGGGTGGTGTCATCTTTCCCCATATCTCTGTCTTAGAAACAAAGAAACTTTCCCTAGAAGTTTCTTTTTCATGATTCTTTGGGTTGAGTGGGTTCAGCAGGACAGATGTCACTTGGAGTCTCTCATGAGGCTGCAGTTAGATGACAGCTGGAACTGCAATCATTTGAATGGCAACTGAGCTTGGTGTGCAGGATGGCTTCTTGTCTAGTGCCTCAACTGGGATGTCTGGAACAGCCAGGGGATGGCCAGGCATCTCTCTGTGTCCATGCAATCTCTCCATGTGGCTAACTTTGGCTTCCTCACAATATGGCAGCCTCAGGGCAATCAGACTTCTCACATGATAACTGGCTTCCCCCAGAGCACATATGCCAAGAGATCTAGCTGGGAGCTGCAAGCCATCTTATGACCTAGCCTTGGAAATTCCACAACATCATTCTTATCATATTTTGTGAGTCAAAAGTAAGCACTGGGTTAGCCCAGATTGGAGACCAGGAGACAACACAAGGTCATGACTATTGGGAAGCCCAATTCATTGGTGGAGGGGGTCTTTGGAAACTAGCTACCATAGCCCCCTTCCTCCCAGAAAACTTCCATATGTCATTGGCCAAAATTGGATTATATGCCCTTTTCTAAAGCAATGGCTGGCAAGGGAAATGGAGTCAGTATGATTCATCATCACATTGAGGAAGGCACCACTATGGGGGTCAACATCACGGTATTGAGAGAAGTAATCCAGGGAAGACCCACCTTGCTTCCCTCACACTGCTGTGAATTTATTATGGTTGGTCCTTACAATGATCTCTTTCCCCAAGGTCCAAAGATCACCTTCTCTCCCCCAAGACATACTGGAGAAGCAAGAGCTAAGGCCTTAGCCTTGTAACTAATCCCCTGCCATAAAATATACCAAGGTTACAGCAAAGTTCTCTTAGACATTTTTTTTTTAAGTTCAAACTGTCCTCTAAGTGACATGGACTAACTGTGTTCCATGCCCCTTAGAGGGTCTTGTCCCATGGTATTGGAAGAACACCAATAATTTGTTTAGGTTCTGGACTCCTGGGAAGTTCTCCTGTGTCCACAGGTGTTTCTGTATGACCCATAAAATAGGCAAGTGAGAGGGGGAGAGAGATAGCCTGAGGTTACAGAATGAGAACGGGACAAGAAGTCAAAAGGCCTCTTGTTAGCCAGATGGTCTCAGACTAAATGGCTTTAACCTCAAAGACTCTTGGATTCTTCACTTGTAAATGATAATAATAGTAATAATATCCTCACAGAGTTTTTGTGAAGTTTGTATGAGATGTTATGCAAAAAAGATATAAAATGGTATATAGAAACCAGATATTCTTATGAAAAAGAGGAAGGCAGAATAGCAGAATGGGCAGAGGGGAGGAGTGGAATGGGAAGCCTTGGATTTGGGTTCTGCCCTTTCCTGGCTGTATGTGTTCTTGGGAGAAATGCCATCACCTCTCTGAACCTCAGTTTCCTTATATGTAAAAGTGGGGGGGTGGTAATGCCTACACATCTGCCCCACAGGATTAGGGGAAGCTGAATTGTGATAAGAGATGTGAATGAGATTTGAAACTCATTAAGTGCTCTATGGATGGGAGTTATCACGCAAGAGGAAGCAAACAAGAGTCACAGACTTTTTTTTCTCTCTCTTTTCCTTTGCTTTCTTTTTTTCCTTGTTTTTTTTTTTTTTTTTTTTTTTTGATACAGAGTCTTTTTCTGTCACCCAGGCTGGAGTGCAGTGGTGGGATCTCTGCTTACTGCAATCTCCGCCTCCTGGGTTCAAGCAATTCTTGTGCCTCAGCCTCCTGAGTAGCTGGGATTACAAGTGTGCGCCACCACACCTGGCTAATTTTTGTATTTTCAGTAGAGATGGGGGTTTTACCATGTTGGGCAGGCTGTTCTCAAACTCCTGGCCTCAAGTGATCCACCAGCCTTGGCATCCCAAAGTACTGTGATTACAGGCGTGAGCCACAGCGCCCGGCTGAGTCATAGACTTTTTAAAGAGGGCATAGGACGGGTTACAGTAGCTGCCTTGGGCTGGGTGCCGAGAAGCACAACCTAAGACAAGGTTTGTTTTGTTTTATTTTGAAACAGGGTCTTGCTGTGTTGCCCAGGCTGGAGTGCAGGGGCACAAACATGGCTCACTGTAGTCTCGACTTCCTGGGCTCAGGCAATCCTCTCACCTCTGCCTCCCGAGTAGCTGGGACTACAGGTGCATACCACAACACTCATCTAATTTTTTTCTCTTGTTGTAGAGATGGTGCTGGGGGAAGGGAGGGCAGTTTCACTATGTTGCTCAGGCTGGTCTTGAACTCCTGGCCTCAAGTATTCCACCCACCTTGGCCTCCCAAAGTGCTAAGATTACAGGCATGAGCCACACACACTCAGCCAAGACAAAGTTTTAAGTAATTTATTTGGGAGGAGATGCCAGGAAATATAGCAGTGGTGTGGGGAAGTGAGGCAGGATGGGAGCAAGTTAATACAGGGTGAGTTGTCCAGCAAGTGAGCTCTGTAGGATATTGGAGCTTAATCCTACTGGCGAATTGTGAAAGTCAGTGTAGACCCACACCCCAGGGTTAACCCACCCAAAAGGCTGCAGTATTTACATACCATGTTCCATTGGTCATCACTCGAGGGCTGTCCTGGGAGTGGAGGTGAAACAGCAATTCCAGTTTGCCCATAAACAGGGAGAGTTTGCCCACTCCAGTGCCACTCCTCAGGCAAAGAATTTCAGGTGCTGGCAGTTAGAAATTAGGCTAGCGTGCTGGAAAAGAAAATGTGAACAGATACAGGCAGGCACTAACTGAACCTCTCTAAAGAAGGCCACAATTATCTCTTAGATCTAACCTACTGACAAGACAGCAGGTAAAGTGTAGCCATGGTCAGCTGCAAGCGTTGTCCACTGTGCAGGGGCCATTCTCCTTGTTCAATCCCCATAACAACCTGTGAGGTTAAACAAGATAATGCATACAGAATGGTTTGCCCAGTGCCTGGCATGGATTAGGTGCTTGGTTGCAATTAGATATTCTTCTTATTATTGCTGCAAAGGAAGGGCATTCTCTATGCAGAGAGACTTGTAATCTCCTCTCTCAGATCCTCAGTGACCTTTGAGGGGTCATTGTCTGAATTTGTTCATCCTTGAAAGGGAATCCCGATTGCTTCTCATCTCCCCACCATTTTCCCACTGGGCAGTCATCATGAGTGTGGGGCATTTGGGATCCTTCAGCAGGGAGACCCAGGAGAGGGTGACCATGAACCTCAGGAGCACGTCTCACTTCATCCTGGTGCAGGGCTTCTCTCCCTTTCCTCGAAGCTTGGCTTTTGTGCATCTGGAAGTCCTTCTCATCTCCCTCAAATGCCCATAAACCTCTTTTTTACTAGTCTTTTCCTGACCTCCCACCACCCCCAGTCATTTTACAACGACTACTTCAGAGATATTGAATACATGTATAAAGGAATCCACACCACTGAGGGCAAAGAAGGGAAAGTCATTTTCTTCCTTCTTCCTTTTTTTTTTTAAATCTACAAAAGAACTCTTTATGTTTATTTCAGAAATAGCAGAAAATGTGGACAAACCAAAGAGGAAGTGTAATAGCATCCACAGACCAAGCCACCCAGAGATCACCAACTCTGTGTATGTCTTTTAAGATATTCTTCTATGCATAAAGTTCATATTCTTTGACTACTTGTAACTTCACTTTTTTTTTTTTTTTTGAGGTGGAGTCTTGCTCTGTCACCCAGGCTGCAACCTCTGCCTCCTGGGTTCAAGTGATTCTCCTGCCTCAGCCTCCCTAGTAGCTGGGATTACAGGCATGCACCACCACACTCGGCTAATTTTTGTATTTTGATTTTTTTTTTTTTTGAGACAGAGTCTCACTCTGTCACCCAGGCTGGAGTGCAATGGTGTGATCTTGGCTCACTACAACCTCCGCCTCCCAGGTTCAAGTGATTCTCCTGCCTCAGCCTCCCTAGTAGCTGGGATTACAGGCATGCACCACCATGCTCAGCTAATTTTTGTATTTTGATTTATTTCTTCATTGTTTTTTGAGATGGAGTCTCACTCTGTCGCCCAGGCTGGAGTGCAGTAGGGCAATCTCAGCTCACTGCAACCTCTACCGCTCAGGTTCAAGCGATTCTCCTGCCTCAGCCTTCTGAGTAGCTGGGATTACAGGCACCTACCACCAAGCCCAGAAAACTTTTGTAGTTTTTAGTAGAGACAGGCTTTCACCATCTTGGCCAGGCTGGTCTTGAACTTCCCACCTCGTGATCCACCTGCCTCGGCCTCCCAAAGTGCTGGGATTACAGGCGTGAGCCACCGTGCCCGGCCAATTATTGTATTATAGTAGAGACAGGGTTTCACCATGTTGGCCAGGTTGGTCTTGAACTCCTGACCTCTCAAGTGATCCACCTGTCTCAGCCTCCCAAAGTACTGGAATTAACAGTTGTGAGCCACAGTGCCCAGGTAATTTCACTTATTTTTAATAAGAAGAATTCACGTGGTTCGTAGTTTAAAGGCTAAAGTAGCATGAAGAGTGAGAAATCTGCCTCCCATCTTTGTCCCCAGCAGTGCATTTCCCCAGCTCAGAGCCACCATTGTCTTCATTCCTCAGGAATCTGTCTCATTTTGTATATGCACTGGCTCACACTAGACCCACTGTTAAAACTTGGCTTGTTTCTTAATTTATCTCAGAGCTGGTTCCTCTTTTCCTTCTTTTAATGGCTGTATAACACTCCACTGTAGAGATTAATCCATGACTTCTTTTTGGTTTTTTGGAATCAGGGTCTTGTTCTGTCACCCAGGCTGGAGTACAGTGGTGTGATCATGACTCAACTGCAGCCTCCACCTCCTGGGCTCAAGCAATCCTCCCACATCAGCCTCCTGAGTGGCTGGGACCATAGGCATGTGCTACTACAACATGCTAATTTTTTGTTTTTTGTTTTTTGTTTTTTTTTCTAGAAACAGGGAGGGTCTCACTATGTTGCCCAGGGAAGTCTTGAACTCCTGAGATTAAGTGATCCTCCCACCTTGGCATCCCAAAGTGCTGGGATTACAGGTGTGAACCCCCACTTTTGGGAATTCGAGATTTCTTTAATCAGGCTCCTACTGTTGGGCATTTAAAATGTTTCCAATCTTATGTTATCCCAAAAGATGCTGTAATGTAGAAATATCATTGTGCAATTTTGCAAGTATCTCTGGAAATGAAATTCCTGAGTCAGAAGGCATATGCATTTGTTATTTTAATAAAACATACAGACATTTTAAGACAATGCATTCAAACTAGTTTGTAACCTGTTTTTTTGTTTGCTTTTACTTAATGGAGAGAGAGAGAGAGATCAGAGATGTCAGAACGTATTCCATTTTGTACGTGCATAATACCTTTAATTAACCCATCCTAAATTAGGAAATAGACTCCACTTTTGCAAAACTGTAAATCACTGCAGAATTGCAACTGCTCTGTGGCAAATGAGAAAGGTGTTTTCAACCATGAGATTGAATGTGAAATATTAGAACAGCGAATCAAAATCCCGTTCAATTAGGCATTGAGGAGTCTGAAAAGAATGAGAAAAATCCAGGTATCAAGAGTCAGTATTTTTTTTTTTGTAACGAGTAAAGGATAAGGGATCCTTTTAAGTGATTCTTTTCCCCAAATGAGGATTCAATGTTTCAACTCATCCCGTGCAAATAAATTATTTATAAATTACATTCCTCTCTTTTAAAATAAACACCATTCCCCCAGAAATTTAGATAAATAAAACGTCATCTATTTATCAAATTGACTCGTCGTGCTTAATAACCCACGGCCGAGCTAAAGGAATTGTTATCTAACAGCTAGGTCAAAAGTGCAAGACTCCAGACTTATTAATGCTAAGCCTAGCCTGGCCATTGATTAGCTCTGTGGAGCAAAGACTGGGAGGAGGGGGACTGTGGACACTTCAGTTCCCTGGGTCTTCTCCCCTCTTAGATGATACCATTTTCTCTGGCCTTGGCTTGCGTGTTTAACAATGTTTGTGTAGCACTCAGATAAAAGGTGCAGGGTGAGACTTAAGTGGTTGTTAAAATTGTCAGCCCCAAAGTCATCAGAATTCCGATTGATAACCCACACTTACAGTGAGAGGAGAATTTGTTTTCTTAGGGAGGCTGATTTTCCCTTTTTAATGACCTGGGAAAACTCTCCAAGTTCACTTGCACTTAGAAGGATTTTTATCCAAAATCTTAATTTTCTGTTTTCTGTAAGAACTGAACTTCTGAGCTAACGGAAAGAGCTCATAGTTTAAACTGGAAGGTCATGAAAAATGGGATTCAGGAACACAGAGATGAACTCAGAATCATCCTGCAGTTGTGGAAACTGAGGCCAAGAGAGAGGGACCAAATGGCCAAGACACATAATGACTTAGAGTCAGCTCTGGGATTGCGACCGAGGTTTCTTGACTCTTGGTCCCTTGCTCTTTTCCTTAATGGTTCCACGAATCACCTCCTATTTAACCCTTGCTGGACCACTCTCTGGAGCCCATCTCTCCATTTAACAGGTGGATAAACTGAGTAAGGGATGAACCCACACAAATTTAAGCCCAATATCCAGAATGTCTTAATTTTTGTTCCGCATCATCTCTGCTCCTCAGAAACCTTGGAGCCCATTTCCATATTCTTCTAGAATAAAAGCCAGTCTAACATTTAAAAATATCTGGCTTCACGGGTGTGGCGGCATGCACCTGTAGTCCCAGCTACTTGGGAGGCTGAAGCACGAGAATGGCTTGAACCCCGGGGGCAGAGCTTGCAGTGAGCCAAAATTGTACCACTGCACTCCAGCCTGAGTGATAGAGTGAGACGGTCTCAAAAAAAAAAAAAAAAAAAAAAAGGCTGCATCAGAGAAAGACTACAGGGTTCTCTGCTATAGCCAGAAAACAGCCTCAGCCCCCATTACTTCCTGGGGTATTCAGAAGGTTTGGGGTCAAATCCTGCATTCCTGCTTCTGAACTCTGTAGACGTGGAAAGTGAATCTCCCTAGGCTTCAGGTTCCTCATTTATAAAATGGGAATAATCATATACAGACCTAATAAAGTTGTGAGAATGACACAACCAGTTTCCTTTATTAATACCCCATGTTAACATAGATGGTACATTTGTAGAGACAGGGTTTACCCAAGTTGCCCAGGCTGGTCTCAAACATCTGTTCGAGACCTGTTTGTTCATAATTAATAAAGCAATATTGATATGTTTTATTAAAAATAGTTTTGAGAATGAAATTTAAAAAGCCATGTAAAAAGGCTGGGTGCAGTGGCTCATACCTATAATCCCAGTATTTTGGGAGGCTAAGGTGGGCAAATTGCTTGAGCCCAGGAGTTTGAGACCAGCCTGGCCAACATGGCAAAACCCTGTCTCTACTAAAAATACAATGGTGGTACACGCTTGTAGTCCCAGCTACTTGGGAGACTGAGGCATGAGAATCGCTTGAACCTGGGAGGCAGAGGTTGCAGTGAGCCAAGATCACACCACTATACTCCAGCCTGAGTGACAGAGTGAGAAACTCTGTCTGAAGAAAAAAAGAGAAAGAATCCATGTAAAGATAAATTACATGGATTAAATGTCAGTTTTAAAAAATCCATATTTAGCACCGTGCTTGACTTCCAGGAAGCCCTTAATAAATGGTACCTGTTGTTGCTGTTGTTGCTGTCATTGTTGTCACTGCTGTTGTTTTCATTGAAAGTTACATGGCTTTGCATAAGTCACTTCACCTATCTATGCAACAAGTCCCCTCCTGCAAAATGGGTATACTGTCTCCACGAAGGAGTTGTTTTGAGGATGCAATGAGGTAATGTATACACAATTCTCAGTGCAGAGTCTGACCCATAATAAACCTGAAATAAATAGTAGGCATAATATTTACCTGTGATATTACAAAATGAGTGGTACAAATAATATTTATTGTTACATCACTTTGCACAACTTGTCTCCTCTGTGTCTCAGTATCTTTTAAAACTAAGTGTCGAGGCCGGGCGTGGTGGCTCATACCTGTAATCCCAGCACTTTGGGAGGCTGATGAGTGCAAATCACTTGAGTCCAGGTGTTCAAGACCAGCCTGGGCAACATGGGGAGACCCTGTCTCTATAAAAAATACAAAAATTAGCCAGGGGTGGCAGTGTGTGTCTGTATCCCAGCTACTCAGGAGGCTGAGGTGAGAGGATCACTTGAGCCAGGGAGGTTGAGACTGCAGTGAGCCAAGATCACACCACTGCACTCCAGCTTGGGTGACAGAGCAAGACCTTGTCTCAAAAAAAAAATTAAAATTAAAATTAAAATTAAGTAAATGAGTGGCAAAGGTGTCTGTAGCAGTATTGTAATTGTGGGGGGCATAAGAATGACCTGTGCTGACTGCTCACATTGTAGATGCTGCAGACCTGAGGTTCTGATTCAATGAGGGTGGAGTGGGGCCCAGGAATCAGTGTTTGTAGCAAATAGATCAGCTGACAGGGAAGCAGGTAGTTGTAGACCACTCTCTGGGAAATGCTGCAATAAAGGTGGGCCATTTTGCACAAAGTCAACAAATATTAATTAATTCCTTAGTTCATAGACACCAAGGAGTCATGGATGCCTACTCTGTTGCAGGCACTGCAGAGCAGCTGACTACATAGACAGAGGTAGGCCCTTCTTCAGAGACTTACAGGCTGCTATTCCATTGGCTAAGCCAACAGGCTTCATTTCTAGCTGTGAAAAATTTCCGCCTCATCTCCCTTCTCTCCAAAGCCAGCATGCAGGTTTTCTGCAGGCCAGTGGGCAAGAACATTTACTGGTGATTTCTTTAAAGGTTTTGGCAGGAGAGGCCAATAATTAACTTTCTCCAAAATGGCTCAGTGCCTAGAACCTCAGCCCCTTTGTAAGGGGACCTTCTGCTCCCACCCTCTCATTGCTCTGTGGCTCTCAGTGGCCCCACTATCAGAAGATTTCAAAGCATTTGGGATTACTTAGCCTCAGGGGCACTGGGCCTCTCTCTAGCCCACTGAGATGCTCAACATTGCCGTTTTTCCTGTTTCAGCTTTGCTGGGTTTGTTCATTCATAATAGCAACCAAATGTCCCCCCCGGTCTAAAAGATCCTTCTTCTAGTTCCCTTTGGTGACAAGACTTTCTATGTTAACTCCTGGCCTCTCAGAATAACCTCTTATTGCAAGCCCACCTAATTGACTTCTCCAGACTTTGCCCCCTTGGTAGCCTTTGTTGGTCTTCCCAGACATGAAAGTTCATCAGACATGAAAGTTTGAGTGGGTGGCGCCCCCCTCCTCCCACTGTGGTCCTGCTCAGGTTAGCAGGGTGTCATCCGGGCTTAGGAATCCCTAGAATCTAGAATCATGGCTGCAACGGGGAAGAAAACTTTGGGGGAAGCTCTTAAACAAGAGCCCCAAAGAAGAAATGCCGTTGAATGATGTTGTTATCGCTGAAGAACTGTGCATAATTATAAACATTGTAAATGTCTTATTATGGAAAAGTTTCAAACATATGCAGAAGTAGAAAGGACACTATAATGAACCACACCATAATTTCATCACCCAGCTTCAAATGTAGAAATATGAGGGAAGGGATGCTATGCACAGTGGCTCATGCCTGTAATCCTAGCACTTTGGGAGGCTGAGGCAGGAGGAGTGCTTGAGGCCAGGGGTTCCAGACCAGCCTGGGCAACACAGTGAGAACTAATCTCCATCCTTTTTTTTTTTAACATTTAATTCCTTTATTTTCACTATTCAATATTATTCAAATACTATCCACATTTCTAGTTTCTCCTTACCTCTTCTATGTTTCTGCTCTTTTTCTTAAGGCATAGCCTTAGGAAAAAGAAATGTCTCCCCAATTTGAACACCTTAACTTTGTGTTTACTATCTGTTCCCAAGTAATTGAAAATAAGAAATAGAAATGCTACTTAAAAACAAACCAAACGAAAAAACCATGATTCCACTAGAGTAGTTACAGTCTTTCCCTGGAAGTCTTCATGCTGAATCAGAATGACCCCTACTTCAGAATGCTAAAGACGTAGAAGAGTCAGAAATGATATCTGCATAGAACAGAGATTTGAGTTTGATGCTCTTTCAGATATTTTTCTCACCTTAGGTTGTCTGATTTTATTTCTACACATTTATGTCCCTTAACTCTTCTACATGAACTCGGTTATCTTTCTCAGAGTCTGAAACTCATTATTTCCTGAATATGTCTGTGCCTTTCTGCTTCCATGCATTTCCTGAAACTTGGCACTTCCCAAAACTTGGCACCTCTACCAGAAAAGCCTTTTGACGTCACTCTTCAATTGTCCATGCCCCTGCTATAATTGCAGGAATGTGAAGGAGGACTAGCTGGCTGTTACGCATAAGAAAAACCAAGCATTCTAGACTGCAAAAAATCAGCTTACTAACCTTAATAAACTGGATATCTCCATCCTTTTTAAAAATGTAAAAGAACCCGTCTCTGCAAAAAATTTAAAAATTAGCCAGGTGTGGTGGTGTGCATATATATGCAAAGGTGATATATATATATCACCTTTTAAATGTGTATGAATACACACATGCAGATAAACACTTATAAAAATGGAATCAAAAAAATACATACAGGCTGGGCACGGTGGCTCACGCCTGTAATCCCAGCACTTTGGAAGGCCGAGGCCTATGGATCACTTGAGCTCAGGAGTTCGAGACCAGCCTGGCCAATATGGCAAAATGCCATCTCTACTAAAAATACAAAAGCTGAATGTGGTGACAGGCACCTGTAATCCCAGCTACTTGGGAGGCTGAGGCAGGAGAATCACTTGAACCCAAGAGGCAGAGGTTGCAGTGAGCCAAGACTGCGCCATTGTACTCCAGCCTGGGCAACAAGAGCCCATCTTAAAACAACAACAACCAAAACAACAACCAAAACAACAACACAACAACAACAACAAAACATACATACAGGACTACCTTTAATTTACTTTTCTTACTTAAAATAGGATTTTTGGCTGGGCGCAGTGGTTCATGCCTATAATCCCAGCACTTTGGGAGGCTGAGGTAGGCAGATTGTTTGAGCCCAGGAGTTTGAGACCAGCCTGGGCAACATGCTGAAACCCCATCTCTACTAAAAATACACCCACACACACAAATTAGCTGATTGTGGTGGTGGTCACCTGTAATCCCAGCTGCTTGGGAGGCTGAAGCAGGAGAATCACTGGAACCCAAGAGGTGGAGGTTGCAGCAAGCCAAGATAATGCCACTGCACTCCAGCCTGAGTGACAGCGAGACTGTCTCGAAAAAAAAAAAAAAGATTTTTAATGGTTGCATAATATTTCATCTCTAGATAAAACATAATTTTACCAACCTCCTATTTTTGGACATCTAAGTTTTTAACTTTTTTGTTATATATTTCCCTGCTATGAAAATTCTTACAGGTAAATATTTGCCCACATTTCTTTATGTGTTATTTCTGTAGAAAAGTTTTCTAGAAGTGAAACAGCCATAAATGAACCTGTAAACTAAACTGCAAACTGCCAAAGTGCCTCCAGGAAGGTTGTTACCGTTTACATCCCCTCCAGTATTGTAAAAGGGACCCGCTGTTTCAGTTAGCGCCATGTTCCCCCAGACCCTTGATGGGAAGTCCCCAGAGACTTGGCAAGCATTTCTCATTATAATGTTTCCTCCCCAAATAAGAGAGCTCTGAGGAAAGAAAAGATGAAGGAATAAGAAAGGGGAATGATGACTATAGTGGGAAGAGAGAAGAGGTGGAAAAATGAAGGAATGGACGGAGGAAGCAAAGGAGAGAGGAAGGGAGGGAGGAAGGAAAGGGGAAAGGAAGGAAGACAGGGAGAGGCGGAGGAAGGAAGGAAAGAAGGGAGGGAGGGAGGGAAGAAAGGAGGGAGGGAGGAAGGAAAGGAAGGAGAAATGAAGGAAGGGAGGAAAGGAGAGAGGAAAAAAGGAAGGAAGGGAGAGAGAGATGGAGGGAGAAAAGAAGGGAGGAAGGAAGGAAAGAAGGAAGGAAGGAAGGAAGGCAAGCAGGAAGGCAGGCTGGCTCACATAAGGGCAGAGGAAGAGACAATAGGAGTTAGAGAAATTGAGAAAAGGGAGAGACCAGGCAAAAAGGTGAGGGAGGTGTCATTATCTTTTGCTAGAGAACAGGAAACTAGGGGACCAGGAGACAGAGAGAGGCAGACAACATCCTTGGCTGTTATTCTTCTGAACAAGGGACATGGCAGTATGGATCTTCAGCAAGCTGCCGCCTTTGCCTCATGTCCTGACTACTCCAACTTCTCCAGTCGGGTTCCACAGGCCCTGGGGACAGCCATACTGGCCTCTCCCACCTGTCACTTGGGCGGCTGCCTGGAAGCCTTCACTCTGGAGCTTCATGGGTTTGTCAGGAAGAAACTGTGTTTAAAAACTATATGAAGGACAACACCAGCGCCATTTGGGAAAAAAAATCTCGGTTTGAGTAATTTGAACCAAAATAAATAAAAGAGAAAATTTAAAAATTTAAGTGGTGACAGTGTTGGGGATGGGAGTGGGAGTGAGGAGTGAAATGCATAAAATAATTCCTGAAACTTTACTCTGCCCTGGCAGGGACGACCCCGTGGGAAGCCAAAATAAGCCAGGCGCATCTCCCAGTTCCTGTTGTCCAGTGAGTCTGGTGTTGCTCAACCCTCTACCAAAAAGCATGCCTGCCCCTCTGCACAGAATGGAAAATGAACATGGCTCTGCCCTGTCTCTGAGAGACCATTTAAGGCTTTGAAAGTCTCCTGCAAGTTGAGTGACACTCCCGTGCCAAGAGCGGATGAGCATGTTTTGTTCCTGGGACATCTGCTATCTCTGATTGGAATGTAAGAGATGTCTGAACTTCCCGATATCCTCTCTCTCTCTCTCTCTCTCTCTCTTTCTCTCTCTCTCTCCCTCTCTCCCTGTCCCTCCCTCCCCTTGCTGCCCCAGCCCCCCATTTCTGTCCTCAAGCTGCTACAATGACCCTAAGCAAAAAAAAAACCTGACTCTTTACCAACCCCAGGGAACAAGCTCCACCAACATCCACTTCTTTTTGTTTGGCAGAATCTCCTTTTATGTACAAAGATTACTGATGAAAAGACCATACTTTGCAAATGTATCAAGTTAACCAAATAATAAAAATGCAAAATGCAAAGCAGTTTGTATTGTGAACTCCATTTGCAATTTAAAAGACTTTTTTATAAACATATGCCTTTATACACATATATGAAGAATATAAACAGATACACAAAAGACAAACTTTGATATTAGTGGTTGGGGGGAGGGGAAATGAAGGGAGTAGAGGGCGTAGGTCACTGCATACTCTTTCTGTCTGATATTTTTTATCATGTGCGTAAGTGCACATGATAATTTTTTAGGATTTATTTTTTTTACTCCTATTATTATTTAGAGACTGGTGGATTTGGTTCAAATCTTGCTCTCCCACCTACTAGCTCCAGGAGTGTGGGTACCTGACTTCACGACTTCAGCAGTCATTGGTTGTAAAATGGGGCAATTGTATTGCCTGCCTTCTAGGGTTGTTGCAAAGAGCAGATGAGTTAGCACATGTGAAGCACTTAGCACAGAACCTGACACGTGTGGTCGATAAATATTGGCCTCATTATCATCATCATCATCATCATCATCATCATCATGTTTAGTGTTACTATCTGTGGCTGTTATCCTGACCCAAAGAACTTGGTTGTTTGTTTGTTTGTTTCCTGAAAGCCAGGAAGCCCTGCAATATCACTAACCAGGCTGTCCTTTGAAGTAGGGCTGCCTGCTCCGCCCGGGGAAGGAGGGAGCCATGTGTTACAGACCTGAGGCATATAGATCTTCCCTCAGCAGATCATTAGGCTCATGTTTGTCACATTTATTTTAAGGAAACTGGTAGGGAGAGGGTGAATGAGGTTAATTGCCCTATGGATGCTGGGCAGCCCTTTTCTCCAGATGGGGGGAGGTTCAACAAAGCCTGGCGTGACCCCAGAGGCATGGCTAAGGACCTGGCTCCTAGGCCTTACCAAACAGAGAAATAAGACTTGCAGAGAGGGAAGAGGAAAGGGGTCACTGGGGCCTGAGCTTTCATCCTGGGGACTCTGGGCTTGCAGAGAAACCCAGATGGATTGGTTGTGGTTCTTACAGAAGTTTGGGAAAGCCCTAGACTTCATCTTATCCAGAATGAATCCGGCAGAGTCTCACTCCCCGAGCAAGTTAAGAGTCATTCTTATGCACAAATAATTCCTTAAACTTTACTCTGCCCTGGCAGGGAGGACCCCATGGAAAGCCAAAATAGGCCAGGCGCATCTTCCAATTCCTCTTGTCCAGTGAGTCTGGCGTTGCTCAACCCTCTACCAAAAAGCATGCCTGCCCACCAGCTAGTGGCGGGTGCAGGGGGTGGGGTGATTCCTTTCTTTCGATCAACAGGGTTCAGACTTTCCACAAACCTTTAGCACAGACCTACTGGGTGATGTCCCTACAACCATGTCACTCCGGGATGTCACTTCACCTTTTCAAGCCTCTGGTCATTCATCTGCAAAACGGGTAAAATAATCATTCTGCCACATTGACTTTTTGGAAGGATTAATACACATAAGCTTTCATCAAATGGTAGCTACGTATATGATGATTATTATTATGTTTCAGTCTACCTGTGAACCAAGATTTGCTTTCTCCTTCCCTGTAAGACCTTCATCTTCATAAAAGGAAAACACATCAGTGTCCGTTAAACTGTATGTTTCAGCCCTTCCAGAAAATAATCAGGAACACACGGCAGTCCCGGCTAAATGAGTAGAGAATGAACTCCTGGTGGATGGGCGGGGGCGGGGGGGTGCGGGTGACACACCTAATTCAATGTTGATTTTTCTGGCCACCGAAAATATTCCTTTTTACGGACCTGCTGGAGCTCCTTAGATTAACAACCTCGGCCGGCACTCATCGCCCCCACCCTGGCAAAGCTTCCCAGCCAGGGAGAAGGTGTGACTTCAGACTTCGTGGTAAGGATGGGGGTTGGGGAGGCGGAATGCAGGCCGGTGTGTGAGGTGATTGTAACCAGAAACGCCTAGGCAGGCATCTCGCTTCTGTCCTGAGCGGCCGCTGGCAGGCAGCCGGACCGGGAGCCGGGAGCCGGTCCGAGGTGCCCTGACTCGCCGCTGACCGCCCCTCCTGGGCCGCGCCGATAGCTTATCGGGTCCACTCTGGGGGCGCCCAGTGCTACAACCGGAAACGCGGCTGGAGGCCAGTGGATGCTTGATGGAGCAGTTCGCGCCGTGGTGCGCGCGCGCCAGGGCTTAGGCTCCAAGTAAAGGCCTTCTTCATCCATCCACCCACAACCAGGTAAGTCATTGCCTCCACCCTCGGATCCGTTCGCTATAGGCAGGTGAACGGCTGGTATTTTATGGACACTGCGGAGCAGGGAGGGAAGTGAAAGTGTGAGGCAATGCAGGGGTCCTGGGAGGTCGGTGCCACCTCAGTGCCCACGGGCCTCAGAGTGGGGACATGAGCGCGGGGCGAGGGGAGGTGATGCTGGGACCCCGGTTGTGTACCCCAAGTTGCCGGTAAGGGTGCACCTGACCTCCGATCCGCATTTTCTCTTTCCCACAGCTCGACCTGGGACTCCTGGCTCAGGCTTGGCGTGGGCTCCATCCCACCGCGATGCTAGCATGCGTATTGGGGTGCCTTGTCTTGGGGTGGGAGAACCTGTTGTAAGAAATTGTTTGTGGTATAGTCGAAAATGACAGAAATTTAGTCTGAAGTCTTGAGTTTAGGTCCAGGCTTTCCACTACTGTGCATTCCTGGGCCGCTTGCTTAACCTCTCTGGACCCAGCCTCCTCATCTTGCAGAGAGAAGTTCTATTATGAACTAAGTGGGTTGTTGGCGTTTGGTAAGATGTAGAGTTGGAAGATCTTTATAAAGTAGAAGAAGCCTTATTTTTGGTTGTCTATTGTTATTAGAACATTTTGGCACTGTCTGGGGAAAGTCAGCCGGCACCTCAGCTGACTGGGGCGTATGTTCCCGCAGAAGGAGACCCGGGCGGGGTCAAACAGGTTGAACCATTGCCCTCTTCTGCTCAGAACAGGTGTCCCCAGCCTCGGGGAAAGACATTTGGAAGGAAAAGCAGGGGGCGTCAGTGACCCTCCGAGGGCTGCAGAGGCTAGCCATGTGCTCCTCTGAGGCCTTAATCCCAGTATCCCAAACAAGCCGCTCAGGACTGGGTCCCCGGCAGATCGCCGCCCGAACTCGGCCCCCAGTTCGTTTCTTCCAGCGCTTGGCCTGGGCTCACCGCGCGCCCTCACCCCGGTCCAGCTGCGCCTAGAGTTCACTCGGGGCAGCAGAGGACCCGCGAGTAGGCGCTCAGACAGACAGACGCCGCGGTGCCGGGCGGTCTCCGGCTGCGCCCGGGTCTGCGAATCAAAGGAGAAGCGTCCTTCTCTCACCCTCTCACCCCGCTCCGCTGGCTAGCCAAGCACGGAACCCGCCAGGCTCTGGCCAACCGGCTCACATGGCCCGGAGCCCAGAGGCTCGCTGAGGCGGCTTCTCTTTACTTTAAACAGGGGGCCTCATAAGACCTGTTGAGGGGCCCTGCAACACTGTATACAGAATCGCCTATTTAAGTAAGTGCTTTTCTCTCTCTCTCTCTTTTTGGTACATCTTTCTAAAGTCAGGTTCTCAGTGGGATCCACATTCCCTCTGAGGTTAAGAACCATCCTTCTCCACCAGAAGCTCAGGGAGTTGTCGATGCAGGATGGAACATTACAAGATTACAGGCCCCAGGTGGTGGTTTACACCTGTAATTCCAGCACTTTGGGAGGCTCAGGCGGGAGGATCACTTGAGTCCCGGAGTTCAAGACCAGCCTGGGCAACATGAGACTTCCACCTCAACAAAAAATTTAAAAATTAAAAATAATTACCTAGGCTTGGTGGTATATGCCTGTAGTACTAGCTACTGGGAAGGCTGAGGTGGGAAGATCACTGGAGCCCAGGAGGTTGAGGCTGCAGTGAGCTGTGAATGTGCCACTGTACTCCAACCTGGGCAACAGAGTGAGACCCTGTCTCAAAAACAAACAAACAACAAAAAAAAACAAGATGACGTGTTCTTTCCTTACATGTACCCTTAAGGCTCTTGGCTGTGAAAGACAGTACACACATGTACACACTTCAGAAATGTCTCTTCCCAAAGGGAAACTGAGGCCCAGACAGGAGTTGCCACTGGTTCAAGGTCAGACAGCCAGTTAGAGGTTAAAAGTAACACATGGGCCGTTGGTTCTTGATCTGATGCTAAGTATCAGATCTAATCGATTATTAGCTCTAAACAAGCTCATCACCAGTCCACAATTCACCCAGAAACTGGCTTCCACAGTGCACTTGATTAGGACTCCTGGCTATGGTTACTCTTCAAGGGCAATGCTAAACTAGTTGAAGACCACAACTTGAGTTTGCAGGCTACCAGTGGCTTGAAAAGATGAAAGGTTCAGCTTAGCTCTATCCTTAATTACTAGATGTTTAACCTTTAGGATGGCAAAGTACCCGTGGAGACACTGATGAAAACTATGGACTTTCTCCAGAAAAATACACCCAAAATACAATTTTGAGACCAGCATCCAGGCTCTGAAGACCTGTGACAGCCATCCATGGAGTCATGTTAAGAACCTCCACTCCAACTAACCCAAAGCTCACAGCCCTGGAGGAGAAGAAGCCTGTTTGGGGAATTCTACCTTGGCTCCATGTCTCTGAAGAGGCTTGTCCCAGGGAATATAATGGGATCCTCGCTCACACACAACCCAACAGCCGACCCACAATGGCACACCTCCCAGTTATTGCCTTAGTCCGGCAAACCCCTGGCTAAGCATCCACAGCCGAGCTGAGGGCAGTGAGAAAAGTTCAAGTCGCCAGCTGAAGTGGTCTTTAACACCCCCCCCCCGGCCTTCTCAGCCTCACTGTTTATCCATATGAAGCGCTCTCCTTCCCGGCCCACTTCCACCCCCACCTTTCTGAGATCGGCTATAAAAATAAACTATTTTTCCTTGTTAATAAATCTCCGCCCGGCGCCCTCTTTTAAAGAACTCAAAAAAAAAAAAAAAAAAAAAGAAAGAAAGAAAGAAAAAAAAAATCACTGCGCCCAGCGCGAGCGAGCAGGGAGATTAATCTCGAAGCAGGATTTATGTGGCGCGGGGATCCTCAAACAATTGGAGTCGTAAAGTGAAATGAGATTCGGAGGCGGGTGGGGGAGGGGGAGGGCCTCGGGAACCGCAAACACGTTTGTGTAGCTAAACAATGTGGAAACTTTTAAAGACCCATTTCTGCAGACATCTTGCAGCAACCGCGCTTCTCTGTCAGCCCGCGGGAAAGAGAGAGAGATATATTAACTGAAGACACAATCTAAAATTACTTAGGGGTTTTAAACATGCGGACAATGGGGGCGGGGGTGCTGATAAACTGTTGTCCATATTTCCTTCTCTCAGGGTATTATTTCCAAAATATTCCACCCCCTTCACAATGCCCCCTCCCTCCCCCCCTCTTCTTTTCTCTCTCCATTCATTACTTTGACGAGTGTGCAGCAGCCGAAGTCGAAGCCGGGAGGTAACAGAAGCCAGCGCGCAGGATCCGGGTTTGCGCCCTAGTGCCCGGCGCAATTGCGCCTGTGCGTAAAGACGCTGGTGAGGCGCAGAGCCCGAATGCCAGGGCTTAGGTACATCACATCTACTTCTGGGGTGGTCTTTCTTAGGACGTTAGATTCTTAGAGGCTTTAAGGATTCCACGCAGTCTTTTAATGCGTGGCCTTGGTCAGGATCGCAGGCAAACCTTTTTCCCTGGCCTCAGGAGTAAGCGCGCAGGAACGCATGCCCAGGCGGTTCCGGCTCCCAGCCCTGATATGTGTGCACTTAGAGCTGGTGAGCTGTTTTGGACTCCTTGGCTCCAGATATACAACTAAGAGAGAAGCAGGAGCGAAGGCTGGCCCTCCTTGTTGCTGGGGGGACTTGTGTAGGAATTGTCGTTAAGTCTGGCGAAATTGGGGCACGGGCTCAACATTCATCGTGCCCTGTAGCAACGCCCGCCTTCCGAGCACGGGATTCCCACAGTCGTCAAATCCCCGCAGGAACTAGGCGGCCTGGGTCAGCCTGTTTGACCTCCCGTTTGCTTCTCTGTAAAATGGCGATATAACGGTATCTACCCCGATGGTTGTTGGGAGATTAAGTGACTGCAAAGCTCGTAGAAAAGTGTAGGTGGTCAATTAGTGTCAGATGTTTCTGTGGTTATCGCTTCTTATGACTGAGTTGTAAGAGCGTGGGCAGAACCCGAAAGACTGCCCTGTTACTCTACAGAGGAGACAGGGCCAGAGAGAGGCATTCCGTGTCTCATAGTGAATGAGGAGAATGTTAGGGTTGAAAGCCTGATTTCTGGGTTCATTCATTGATTTGATAAATATCCCATTAGTTTCAGGCTCGGTGCTGAGCTCTGGAGGCCCAGCTGTGACCAGGTTGGTCCTGTGCCCCGCGGAGCCCGACGATCAGCGGGAGAGACCGATGCTGAAACCTACAGTATTTCCTTTGATGCCAAATTCTTGCCCGCGCCGCTCCTTAATGCTTCTCTGGTCACAGCTGGGGCGCTGCAGGCTGCAGACAGACCCCTGTCCCCAGGAGGCATACAAACGTGGGGGTTAGGGGAGAACAGGCAAAGGCAGAAGCATTCTCCACCTAGGACGCCTCTGTGGCCGCCGCCGCGCGCCAGCCTGTGACCAGCGGCGCAGCTTCACCCAGGCTGCCGGCTGCCGCTGTCGCCCTTGCGGGGCACACGTCCAGCAAAACATTTCTAAATGTGTCTGGGCCCAATTCCGGAGTGTGAAGCAATCCCTCCGGCCCACGCTGCCGGCGGACCCTTTATGTAGTCGCGTTTCAGCCGCGCAGCGCTCATCAGCGCCACTTATGTCATCGTTTCTGGGTGCGCGCGGGCAAATTTGCTCCGCGCGCGCGCGCCCAGCGACCCCAGCGACCCTCCCCTCCCAGTGGCCTCCACTCTAGCCCTGCAGGGCCCCCAGGGATTTGCTCTGGGGGCTTGGCCAAGAAAAGTGGCCACCGGGACGGGCTGTTCTCTGCCTCCGTGAGTGTGGCCCAGGTGGAAATTCCAGTGAAAACTGAGCATTCTGAATTAAAACAAAACACAGCTAACTTAAACTAACCTAAACTCGTTTAGAGAGGTTTGAATTGGCTGCCTAATTACGGATTCCTCCATCATGAGTCTCTTGAATTACCTAGGCAAAACTGTCAATTATCCAAATGTTATACTGAATTTCCCAGAATTTCCTGGATTTGCCAGGTAGTCAACATCTGCTGTTATGGGGACAACCGTCCAGATTGTATTAGCACAGTGTTCTGCTCTCCAGCTGTGGCTGGATGCCTGCTCACTCTCCTGAATTTTTCTGATACAGTACTTCTGGATTTATTTTTCCCTGGCAAATTCCACAATGCTCCCAAGGTTGTGATGGAGAAGGGAGGGAGAGATGGGTGTGGTGATGAGAGTGGTGGTTACCTTGGCATCTTCTCTGAGCTTCTTGGGCTTCTGAGTATGTTCATGGCTGGAAGAAGAGCTTCAGAGGCAGCCCCACCAGGTTTCCCAAATTAGAGAATTAAAGCAATCTCTCTGGTCATCCACACACTAGATGTCTCAACTTTTCCCAAATTTCCAGATAATTAAGTGTATAAGGGAAATGAGAAGATGGGCCAAAATTTCCACATAATTTTCTAATTTTCTTTCATCTCCATTATGTCACGAGAAGTGTAAATACACCCCTTTTACCTTGAAAGGAGAAAGAAAGAAAGAAAGAGAAAGAAAGAAAGGCAAACAAAACAAATCTCCTGTATTTGTTTGAAACTCTCTTCCTGCATTTAGAGGCTGTGTGTTTGTGTCTGTGTTTGTGTTTGTGTGTGTTGAACCAAGGTCACTGGGCAGCAGAGGAACAGGGCTAGGGTTTGGGACAACCGTGTCAATGTTTTCTATTTAGGAAATGTCTGTTGGATCTCAATCCCAGTGGATCCCATTTTCCCCAGAAAGCACCAATTTCTAACACTTTTGTTTCTTCAGGCCCCTGCATCTTGTAATCTATGACAGACCTCAAGGATAGAGGCTGGTTCTACACTAACAAAGTCCAGTGAATCTGTCCACAAAGTCTCCCCCAACAACTTTGGTATGGGTGGGTGGTGGTGGTGGGAAATATGTGGCTGCCTGGGGCAGGAGTCCACATAATCCAGCTGGACTGGATCTTGATTCCTTTCCCTTCCCTTAATTTCACCAGTGTAGATCTCTGCCTAGAGACAGGGAAGTTTGAGAGAAGATCCAGAAGTCCCTGCTCTGGGAGTTCCTTAAAGGCTGTGGTTGGTTATGGTCTTCCAGTTGTTGGGGATATTTTTGAGGGCACAGAGACTCCTGACTTTTGCAGCTGGAGAGGGGATTAAACACATGTCCAAGCGTGTGCACACCCTCTTCCTCCTCCAGCAGCACACAAAGAGGAGGAAAGGTTGGAATATGTGAAGGATCAGTCCTCAGCCCTGTCATCAGGAAGGCAGCCTGCAGATCTCCAGCTAATTACAATGAGGTCCTGGACCATGATGCTGGTTCTAAAGACTTTAATTGGAGTTCAGGAACACCTCCCCACGGGAGGCAACATCCAGAGATTCTATTGCATCCCAAGGATGTGCCCAACTCCCAAACATTAAGAATATATCCTCATTAGAACCTGTTTCCCACTGGCGGTCCTCCATCAACTCTTCAACTCGAATTAAACTGGGGACACTTCGGAGCGGGTCTGGGTCTGGAAATGCAGCTTTCAGAATCAAGGGCTCTGGAGTCTGAATGCCGAAGCTGAACCTCTTCCCTCACTTGCTAAGTGATGTTGGGAAAGCAATTTAACCTCTCTGAACCTAGCTCTCATCTGTGAACCGTGATAACAGTACTCCCCTCTTAGGGTTGTTAGGAGGAGCCAATGAAGGAGGCAGGAGGAGGGAATGGCTGGATCAAGATTGTTCTGTAGTAGAACTGGAGGCCTGTCCATACTGGGTCCTCAGCCAACAGGTTGCAGCATGCACGCTGGTAGCGGCTCCTCTCAGCCAGATGGTGAGAATGTAATAAAATAAATATATATTGTTGGGCTATTCCAGAAACAGCAATGTGTGGCGTAGGAAAGCTTCGTGTCGAGCTATGTTGGTGGATGTCTGCTTTTCACTCCTAGGCCAGTCCTCAGGCTGTGGGTTCCAGTCCAAGCCCTGCCCCTTTCTTGCAGGGTGACTCTGTGTAAGTGCCTTCCCCTCTCTGGGCCTGGAGTAGGCAGTGCTGGAAATGACTCCTACCTGCAGGGTCATTGTGCGAATGAAATAAACGAGTAGGTGCGTGGCACGTGGTAGTGAGACTGAAAGATACAGTATCACAGCACGTCGTAACAAACACATAAGCACAGCCTAACACAATATACACATCCTAATGGGAGGTAAACGTGGTATAATATCCGATATTACGATGTGTTATATTGTATTATAATTCTAGGCGCACGTGAGCGTGCTGTAAGAGACAGACTGCGTTAGCCAGGACGTGCTTCGCCATTTTAGTGCCCGTGGGGGACGCAAGGTCTTACCGACTGGGGTTTTGAAGCGCGGGTGAGCGCTTGGCAAAACGCAACATCTTTCTCCCGGCAGCGCTGCTCAGTGCCCACTGCTCCCGTCCTGGGAAGATTCTTGCAGGTACCCGGGCACTGGGAAACCCTGGTAGGATCCGGCCGCTCTGTGGCGGCAGCTAGGAGCCCACATGGCACCGAGGAAATCGGGCGTCTGTGGCAATTCCCGACTGAGCGCGGCACAGCGCTGTGCAAACTGATGCAGCAACCTGAACGCGCCGTACCTCACCGAGCACGAAGCTTGGAGGAGGCCGGAGAACCCAGAACACCTAACCCACCCTTCCGCCTTCTGCTTTCCGTGCGGCGCAGGGAGCAGGCGGTTTCCGCAGGGAGAAGGCATGGCTGGAAGAAAAGCACTTTTTGTTTCTCCGCGCTGCTTCCCGGGATTTAGCCAGTGCCGCAGATGCGCGCGCTGACCAACCATCGAGACACGATTCTTTGGAGCCCTTTCTTCTAAAGGCATCGACACATCTACAGAATTGTTTTCAGCGGTGCAATCACTGACACACACACCAAATCCCTTGCACTCGGAACAATTTGCCCGTAGAATTACATGCACATAGAAGTACTTGAGAATTGCAAATCTGTCGGCTCGTGGGCATGGAATTATCTGCACATAGATAATCGTTTGCATATGTTGTTTGCATATGTCGTTTGCATATGTTGTTTGCCACGGATAATTTACGCGTAATTATCTGTAGACAGAAACGTCTTTGCGCACACACATTATTTGCAGGCGCGTTAGCGCGCAGACACTTCATTATATATATGAAAATTAAGGGCACACCCGCGGCTATGCGCTCCGGCACAGCCCGTGGCCCCCACCCGCAGGCGCAGACCTAAGGGTGTAACGATGAGCACTGGGTGTCTTATGTTTCCGGGAAAGTTCTAGAGTTGAAAGGAGAAAACTGTCTGGAGTCCGCGTTCTCTCTTTGTTGTTGGGGTTTGGGTGTTTGTTCTTGTTTTTTGTTTTTATTTTTTGACAGAGGTTGAATTCCCGACAGTTTTCCTGCTAGGAAAGACAGCGGGGACAAAGGCCAGAGGGTCACCCTGCTTGGAATCGAGGTCCGGGAGCAGTCCTTCGAGGGTTAAGGGCAGCGCCATGGGAACAATGAGTACAGAGATCGTGGCGCGGCCTCCTCGCCTCCCCTAGGCCGGAGAAGAGCCAGGTGGGGCCTGGAGGGACCCGCGGCCTGCGTTCAGAGGGCCGGGGGAGCTGTGTTTATTTTCTGGTTATTCTTGGCCGTCTTCCACGCGATTATTTGTAGCAGCTTAGGGAAGTTCAGGGAGAGCTGGGGCCTTAGGGGGTGAGGTGGGGGTTCCTCTGCCAGATCCCATGGATTTTATGGCATCGGAGCTCCAAGGGCAAATTACAGGCGGAATCAAAATGTGTAAATTCCAGTATAATATATAATAATATAATTATATATAAAATATATAATATAATGTAATGTGTAAATTACAGGTTAGTATCGTAAAGAATCCTAAGTCTGGCCGCTCAAGAAAGGCGAGTTGTGGGTTTCCAAGCTGACTCCCAGCCGGGCGCTCGCCAATGCGCCATGGGCGTCTGCGGGCTCAGTCCCCAGGCTTGGGAAGCCGGGGCGCCGGGGCGCTAAGAGGGAGAGCTGAGGCGCAGGCCCAGAGTTCTGTCCCAAAGCGGGTGGCCTCACCAGCAGGAAAGAAAGGGGGCCAGGTTGAGCACCCTGGCTTCGGAGGCTGACAAAAGACCGACAACCTGGAGCTGGAAGCATGGGAATTGGGAACGCTGCTTTTTCTCCCTGGGCCCCGCCGCTGTGGCGGCCTTTTAGCTCGGGCTCGCTAATTAGACTTAATCGAAAGTGCCTTTATACGCCTAGCCAAGAGCTAAAGCTAGTTTAAGAGGTTAGGATGTATGTGCTGCCACAAAAGTGCGTCGCAGAGGTTCCTTGGAAAGAATTTCGGAAGCCTTACAGTTCAGAAAGCTGTCTTACTTCATTTTTCATTATTTAGCGTTTTCTGGGTCTCATTTGTTTTCTTCTTTTCCCTCCATAGTCTTTCTTGTTACGTCCTCTTTCCCCCTTTTTCATTTTTTTCTTTCCTCGGTTTCCTTTCCCTTCTTCCCTCCTCCGCCCTTTCTCCCTCCCTCCATCCCTCCCTCACAACTTTCTTTCTAAGTTCTTTTCTTTTTTTTGGTCTTCTTCCCCCTTTTCTCCTTGCCTCATCCTTTCTCACTTCATGCCCAATTTTCTTGTTGTTCTCCCCACATTTGCAATGTTTCAAAGTCCCTCCTTTCTGGTGTCTTTTTTTTTCTCTTTGTTCACTCTATTTCGCAATCCCCCATCTATTTCCTCCTTTTCTTTTTCTTTTTTTTTTTTCTCTTTCTTTTCCCATTCTATGATTAATTCTTCATGTCTTGGCCCAGAATGTGGTGCAATTGAACTTAAACTTCCTTGATTATGGCAAATTTAACTAAAAACAGGTCGCACTGGCCTGGAGAGAATTAGAAAGGGGAGGAGAACATTTCGATAGCAGCATCAAGAAGTGCTGCATTCAGTTAACACTAGCCTCTCCAGGGCTGGATACATTGGAGAGGTGAGGGGCTGAAAGATTAGTAAGAACTCAAACTTTCCATGGCCAACGAGATTGTCCATTTGGAAGGGGTGAGCTATCCAGTTATCAGCAGGACACCGGTGCGTTATCATGCACGTGAGCATACCAGGGTCTGCGCATATCAGCTGTCCATTTGATTTCCATCTTTGTTCTAGGAGCTCCTGAGAAAATCTTGCTAAGATTTAGCACGAATTTCAAGAAGACAAATAAACCACCCATGATAAAAATCCTTTTGAGACCACCTAGCTCCCTTCCTGGATGACAGATCTCTATTTTTCCTCCCTAGGAGCCCAGGTCTCCCCTTCTCAACAGCTGTTCATCCATTGTTATATTTATTGGGTAAATATAAACCCATAAATACACCTGAATGAAAAGGTTCATGTTCCATAATATGCTGTTCAGAGCCAACAACATTCATCTTCCAACCATTTCACTTCTTTGGTTTGACAAAGAGTGCAGGAATTCTACACTCCTGCTCCTTTTCCCAAGTGATGAGAATATTAACATCTGACCACTCTGCCCCCAGGAGTAGCCTCCACCCCTATCCACCTTTCCAAAGCCTCCTTATTAATAAGAGGTCACTTCCTTCCAGGCCTTAAGCTCAGCCTGCAATTCAGACCAGACAGGGAGAATATGTTGACATACCTGAGCCAGTGGCAATACCAGGGTGATCCTATCCTCATGGAGGGAAGGGAAGAGGCTTCCTAGGGGCCCATGCTGGGGACCTGTGCTAGAGACTGGAGAAACAGGCGCTCCTGTGTGGAGATCAAGGGAGCGACTTCAGGAAAGAAATCCTGGCTCCATCACAGTTCATTTTCATAAGTGCATGCCCTTTAAGTCTGGCTTTCTGGAATGACCCAAGCAGCAAGCTGCTGAGCCCTTCTCCTAGCCATTGATTGCCTGGCCCTTTTAAAGCTTGGAATCCAGTAAGGTTGGTGTAGATGAAACATATTCAATTAGCATATCGTGTTGTTGAGGGTGTGGGTAATAAGCACTCCAACATGGGCACTTACAACTCCTGTGGGGGGTGGCAATTTGGTGTGCCATCAAAATGATGACAGCACAACCTTTTGACATAGCAATTTTTGTCCTAGGTGTTTATCCTACAGATGTAGTCCTGCATTTGCAAAATGGCATTTGTATGAGGATGTTCAATGCAGCACTGCCAAAGTTTGAAAATGACTTGGTGGGCATAAATGGGGAGCTGGTTAAACTGATTATAATAAGAGGGGCAGTGACATATTATGCAGCTATAGAACAGATCAAGGGCTTTCTGTATGTACAAATATGAAAGCATCTCTAGGATATAAGCAAAGGACAATGAAACTAAAAGCAACAGGCAGAATGGTTTGTATAGCAAGCAACCGTGTGTGTGTGTGTGTGTGTGTGTGTGTGTGTGTGTGTGTGTGTAGTGATTCCCCAGAGGGGCATAAAAGACACTGCCACCCTGTCACCGTGGTTACCTCCAGGCAGAGCCAACTAAATAACTGAAGAAGGAAAATCTGCTTTGCACTGTATACTGTTTTATACGTTTTCAGGTTTTTTTCTTTGCCTTTCACATGTCCTACTTATGCTATACATAATTTTTAAATGAATTGAAAAAAATAATAGAAAATGGTTGCTGTCCTCATGGTCTTTTCTTTTTCTCTGCAGCCTTCTTATTGCTTTCTCTCATTCTCCTCTCCCTTTCAGAATAGTAGTCTCCACCTGATGAACACTCACCCCATGTAGAAGTTGTGGCAACTGCCTTAAAAATACCTCACTTCATTCTCACATCAGCTCTGCAAGAGAGGCATTCTTAGTCCTATTTTACAGGTGTATAAACTGAGGCTCTTAGCAACAAATCTCCTGCCCAAGCTCACATACCTGATAAGATGCTTTCCAACCCAGATAGTCTGTTTCCGAAAGCAAATGATTACAATCTAACTGACCTCTACTTCCATATCCTCTTTCTTTTCTCCATTTATTCTCCTAAGACTTCCAGCCACTCCCCCATCCCTTAATTTCCACCCCATCTCCCACCACTCACAATTGAATAAATGAAAATAAAATACTGGAAGGAGAACAGCTAAGTCCAGACCAAAGCAGGCCAACTGGTTCTAATGCAAATTCAAAGACAATTTGCTGAACTACATGGTGGCAGACGGCATGGAAAGGTAGACTTGATGGAGACAGAAATCAGTCAGTCCCTCGGCTGTTCATAGGAAACCCACCCATGGACTCACAAGTCCTGTTTCTTTCTCCAGCAGTTCCCATAAATCCTAGCAGGTCTTCATTCTTGGAGCCAGCACTAAGCCCTGAAAGGTAATGGGGTGTGAGAATTTGGCTTTGGAAAAATTCTCGGTTAAGATCCGGATGTGGGGCCAAGATTCCTGCGGGGAGCCCTTAAACGTAGGAGCTGGGGCTGTTAACCAAATTTCCTCTTATCTGAGGATTGGGCTTCTGCAGGTGAGGCCTCCAAACTTCAAATGCATTCCTCTGCTACCACAGCAAGGCCCCAGAAAGATACCAGGAATCATATTTTTTGGCACATGGAACTAACTCGTGGCCAAGTCAGCAAATAGCTCTGGAACACTTAGGATGTCCAAGGCACTGCACAGCCAAGGTAGCAAAATGTGTGTCAGTTTCATACATACTTGCATATTATAAAAATTTAATTCAAATTATTACAAAAATCAAATTCGATTTCTATTTTTTAGAAGTTATACAGTGAAAATACATTTCTATCTCAGCTCCTTTCCCCAGTCCTCTAGTTTGCTTTTCTGAGGCCATCCAACTGTGACCTCTTTCTTGTATATTTTCTGGATATAATCTAAGCATGATTGATTTTTTTCTTATTTGAATCATTACCTTTTAGACCCAACATATAGCCATGGCCTAGTGTGTAAGAGGATTGATTTTTTTCTTATTTGAATCATTACCTTTTAGACCCAACATATAGCCATGGCCTAGTGTGTAAGAGCCTGGATCCACACACTGGTCCATGACTTTTTAGGTCTATGTACTTGGCCTGGTTCCTCAAAGGCCATGCTTTGGTTTTCTCATCTGAAAAAGGGGATGATACCAATACCCGCCTGAAAGGTTTCCTATGCAGATTAAATGTGACAAAGCAATGTAAAGCATCTAGAGTTGTGCCTAGCACAAACACTCCTTTATTTATGAGAGGAGCTAAGATAATTAGTACTTTATTATCTTAATACATAGTTGTGTTCTATTCTGTGTGTGTGACTGTGCATTCTTCCCCACCAAATTTCTTCCTGATGCAGTGTAGGTGACAGTATCTTAGACCATAACTAGGAAAATAAGTGAAGAATTAAGATTCTACCATCAGTGAAAGTATCTTATAACTTCCAATGTCTAAAAAGGAGAAAGATGTTAAAATTTTCTAATACTGGCTTCTTCCAAATAGAAAAATGTTGTATTTGGTGGTTCTGTACAAAATAGAACTAGCATTTCTGTTACTACTCTGGGGTGTGTGTGTGTGTGTATGCATACGCCTGTATATGTGGTTACATAGGCAGTTGAGGCAAATGCCTGAACCCAGAATCTGGCCACATTGTATATGAATAGACCTCAATAAGACATAAAATTTGCATTAAACTTGAAAATGTTTGTGGTCATATTAAAAAGCAGGGTGGCATTTACAAATTTAAGGTTATGCACAAACTACATCAACTTTTAAAATGAATTTGTCTGGATAAAACTTTATTCTCTTTAAGAAGTGTGTTCACATATCATTTATTTAAGTTGAATCCTCACTTTGTGTAAAATATTGGGGGACCCTAGAATATGATATTTCCCCTGCATTCTTTTCTGGTCCCCTTGGTGATAGAGTGGTCTCTGATGCTCAGGGCGTGGGTGAAGGTCTCTGTACTTTATAGGTACAAAGACAAATGCTGGCCTCTTCCCTGCAGATGGGTTTTGAAAATGACTTCATAGTTCTTTGCAAAGATCATTGCACAGTTGGATAGTAAATGATGCGGTTTTTTTTTATTTTTTTGGTCATTCGCAAGTACAATCTACCCCTTCTCCCTGCCAGGAATGAAGCCAAAAAAACAGAAGGATAGCAAGATCTCAAATCTGTTGAGTGTGAGCTTCTCATAGCAACATAAACAAAAACTTTGTGGGTTTTTTCTTTATACTTAAAAAGCTGTTTAAATACAGAAAAGTACATAGATTAATATGTCAAATACCTATGTACTCACATCTAGAAAAAACACATATTAACAAGTGGTCATATTCACTTCAAATCTTTTTTTTTTAATAACAGAAGCAAAATACTATAAAGTTCAAGTGCTTTTTCCTTTTATAATTTTGTCCCCCTTCCTCTTCCTCTTCTTAGAGAAAACCACTGTCATAATTTTGATAAATTACTTGCAGTCTAATTTCTTATACGTTTATAAAATATACACTTGTCTCTTAGCAATGCAAACTTTTGGCTTGTGTTTTTTAATTTGCATAAATCTTATATATACAGGTCTACAATTTGCTTTTTTATTCAATATTATACTTCTGAGTTTAATACATGTTGGTGGATAATATATAGTTGTAAATATTAATATTATATTATATAAACATATTTCATTTATTTTAATTGCAACATAATAACCTATGATTGAATAATAATTGCAGCTAATACTTGCATAATACTTTCTATGTGCCAAGTACTGTTCTAACCATTTTATGTAATGAACTCACCTAATCCTCACACCTGTGAAATAGTTGCTATTGCTATCCTCATTTTCCAGATAAGAAACATACAGTTAAGTAATTAGCCCAAGGTCACTTTCTCAGCTGATGGATTTTTATATTTTTTTCATAACCATTACAGATGGCCGGGCGCGGTGGCTCATGCCTGTAATCCCAGCACTTTGGGAGGCCAAAGCAGGTGGATCACGAGGTCAGGAAATCGAGACCATCCTGGCTACCATGGTGAAACCCCATCTCTACTAAAAATACAAAAAAATTAGCCGGGTGAGGTGGCAGGTGCCTGTAGTCACAGCTACTTGGAAGGCTGAGGCAGGAGAGTGGCGTGAACCTGGGAGGCAGAGCTCGCAGTGAGCCGAGATTGCGCCACTGCACTCCAGCCTGGGTAACAGAGCGAGACTCTGTCTCCAAAAAAAAAAATTAAATTAAATTAAATTTAAAAACCATTACAGACAATACAGCAAACATCTTTGTATCTGCTTCTTCACATACGCCATTTATTTTTATATGTGAAAGGTTTATTTTGAGTAGAATTGCTGGGACTTTGAGTATGCACACTGCTAACTTTGCTAAATATTTTCAATGTCAACATCTGCATGTGTGGTTTGGGGCAGCCTTCACTTTACTGAACCTCAGTTTCTTTCTTTGTAAAATGGGAACATGAGGGCTGGCTCTTAAAGGTTGAGGCAGAGATTTAAAAAGCTGTATGTGGCAAACCTGCAATAATGAGCAGCTATTATACATCCTCATAAGAATATTACTGTTGCATTATACTGTGATAGCGCTGACCAGACTCTAATTAAGGATAAGTATTTCAAAGTTCAAAAATGATCGTTAGGACTGAACTGGACAGTTCTTCTTAGTTGCTGTCTCATTTTTATAGGCTTGAAAATAAGCAAAAGGAATTTCGATAAAATTTTATATCAAACCATACCAAACAACCCAGAGGAGGGAATATGAAGCCAAGACTTAAACTACACAACTGAACCATTCTGGACTAATTGATGACTGTGGAGCCTGGGCAGGTCCCTCGGACTTTCTGGGTGTCTTGTTCTCCGGGTCTTAAGGAAAAACAATGATACTTTCTTGCCTTGCAAGATAAGGTTGTTATAAAGAAACAGATGAAAGAACTGGGTGAGTCCCCCCTTTTTTTTTCGAACTATGGAAAATCAAAGATCTGAAGTGGATTTAAAGATATTACTTTCTGGCTGGATACCAGAAAGTATTTTACTATTGCATACATACTCAAAACATTTCAGAAAATTTTATCTTAACTTTTGAAATTGGTTTGTCTTAGAAGAGGAAAGGAACATACCATATTGGTGTGTTCATGGAATTTTTCTCATTGCTGTGCCAACTTCAGGTTCATGAAAATATTAAGGCTTTGTTTTCCTACATAAACTGATTTAGGTAGTAGAAAGATGGGAGAGAGAGGAAAATACACAGATGCAACTCAATCAAACAGTTGTTTTGCAAGCAATTGGTTTCTTGATGGGATTTGATTAATTGTTTTCAAAAATAACTTGCCTGAACAAATTTGGTATCTTTCCTTTGTCTATCTGCCACGACTGCCAAGATATTAAAACCCAAACTAGCTGTGTTTAAAATTTCTTTAATCAGTTATCAGCTAAATTCAGCATCTTTTATGTCAAAAATAGCTCACTGGTAGCTTGGGTAAAGCCAATTGGCTCCTCTTCAAACTGGTTTGTCTGAGTCTGGGGCCACAGGAAATGCTCTGGTCCTGTTCCTAGCTGAGACCCCATTGATGTCAGCTGGAGTTGGGCCATTTTCATTTGCTAATAAAGCCCCAGCATCCATGGTGAATAACTGATGAAAGATGCTGGCTGCTGTTGGCGGCAGGGAGAGAATGCAGCACATCCAGGAGGAAGGGAAGAAATTAGAAGGAAAACTTAACCAGTGGTTCCAACCTGTTCTTTCAGCCAAGTCCTAATGGTGTAATGGCTGGCTTATTTTTCCAAAGGCTAGGGGTATAGGAATAAAAGGGCCGAAAAGAGAGAAGGACAGAAACACAAACACACACACACACACAGACGTATCACACACACACACACACACACACACAGACGTATACACATACACACACACAGAGAAGGCAAGGTGCATGATGAAATAGATGTTTTATAATAGTTTAAATCAGCTAGAAGAAGAATAGGCACTACTCAAAGACAAAGGCAGTTTATTTTCTCTTGTGGGGAAAGGGTCAGCACAGTTTCAGTTGTATGTGGGACAGTTGTATCATGTTAGGCAGAAGTACGGCTTCGTGATCGTCTTTAGTTAGAGGTTAAATACCGTTGAAAGAGATGAGTCTGGGTGTTGAGCTGACAAACGGCAAACTGATGACTTTGTAATGTGGTCGTATGATACAGAAATCACTGTTTTCTGAATTTAGTTACTGTTAAATTCACTTAATGACTTTTGCCATATTCAAGCACCGTCTATTCTATTTTCTCTTTTATTTACTTTTCTAAAGCTAAATGTCTATTTCGGCTTCATCTGAAACCATTATGGGTTTGTTGGGTTCCTCTTTTTAAATAGCATACATTACAATAAAGAGATACATATTAACATTTCTCCTAAAGTTCATCTGGTCACACACTTAAAATCATCTTGTGGATGGCCAAGGGTGTGGGACACTTTAGGGTGATGGTTAAGAGTGTAGGCTTTGGTGTCAGTCAGACTCAAGTTTCAGCACTAATATTTAGCAGCTGTATAACTACATTCAAGTTACTTAACCCCTTTGAGCCTCAGTTTACCCACCAGTAAAATGGGGATGATACTGCCATCTTCATGGGGTTGTTTTGAGCGTTGCATAAGCTCAAGCATGTAAAGTGTCTGTGCCTGGCACCTATGCTATTGGGTGCATCGTGTCCCTCCAAAATTCGTGTTCTCAAGTTCTAATCCCTAGTACCTCAGAATGTGGCTGTAATTAGAGGCAATGCCTTTAAAGAGATAATGAAAATAAAATGAGGTCATTAGGGTGGGCCCTCGTCCATATGACTGGTGTCCTTTTAAGAAGAGGCGATCAGGACACAAAAATGCAGACAGAGGCAAGACAAAGTAAAGATAGGGGAAAAGCAGCCATCTGCATGCCAAGGAAGGAGACCTCAGTACTTAATCAACCCCACCAACACCTTGCTCTTGGACTTCCAGTCTCCAGAATCATGAGAAAATATGTTTCTATTGTTTAATCTACCCAGTCTGTGGTATTTAGTTACGGCAGTCCTAGCAAACTCATACCATGCATATAGAGTGTATATCCGGAGAGCCTCTTGTTTACACCCTTGGTGGTTAGCCATATGCAGACGTGGGCTCAGACTCTACTCAGATCTAAGTTTCAGATGATGGCACAAACCACAAAATAGTGGATCCTGCATTGAAGCAGGGCCTCCTTACTGCCTTCTTGGCAAATTCACAGCAATGTTGTCATCTAAGAAATGTGGTTATCACGTGGGAAGAGTGACTAATCCCCAGTGATTCTGGCCCAGTTTAATTTTTAGGTAAGAATTCTAGGATTCTGTGAAATGCAGCCATTTTTTTTTTGTTGAAAAATAAAACTTCTGATCCAGAAGTTTTATATTTTACCAAATGAAATTTAAGCCTGCAATTTCATTTTAGGTGGAAAGAAAATATAAGTCTTTGGAATAAAGTTGTACATTTACATGCTTTTACAACTCAAAGGCAATTTTGATTTTAATATCAAACTCTTTCAGATTTTGGCACATCGTAAGAACAAGTGCCTCAGGACATTTGTTTTATTCTTTTTTTTTCTTTTTCAGTTTTATTTATTATTTATTTATTTATTTATTTTTGTTTTTTGTTTTGTTTTGTTTCTGAGACAGAGTCATGCTCTGTCACCCAGGTTGGAGTGCAGTGGCATGATTCCAGCTCGCTGCAACCTCCACCTCCCAAGTTCAAGCGATTCTCCTGCCTCAGCCTCCCGAGTAGCTAGGATTACAGGTGCCTGCTACCATGTCCAGCTATTTTTTTGTATTTTTAGTAGAGAGGGGGTTTCACCACCCTGGCCGGGTTGG